>NC_000013.11:78866627-79019468 GCF_000001405.40 Homo sapiens | reverse complement strand
TGGCTGCACAGACACATTAGTCTCGGGCCAGAGATTGGAGCATCCCTCAGGCCAGAGATTGCAGTGGGGTAAAGGCCTCCACAGCCAGAACTGTGGGAAGTGCCTCAGCAGTAAGCACTGGAATGGTGCTGTCCCCTGTTGTAAGCCTGAGGCAGGAGGAGAGCTGCTACAGCTGCAGTTTTTCCTGGATGGCAAGACTTGTAGCCAGAACCAACTTGATCCTAGGAAACAGTCTGCATGTGCCATGGCTGGGTGTACCAGCATGCTGCCCTGAGTTCTTGGTGCAGAAAGGCCATCTCTGCTCCATCCCCAGGCAGATATATGGGCATTTGGTACACCTGCTTGCCTGAACCAGCAGCCTTGAGCTTCCCCATCCTTCCTGAACATAGATCATGGAGCAGCAGGGCTCTCTCCACTCCACACCCAGGCAGATCTCCAGGCATTCAGAGCACCCATTCATCTGGTTCAGCAGCCTGAGCCACTCTACCCTTTCTGACATAGATTGTGGTGCAGTGAGAACTTCCTCATTCCATGCCCAGGCAGATTTTCAGGTATTCAGAGCATCTGTTTGCCCAGGTCAGCAACCTGACTCACCCCACCCTGCCTGTACAGAGATCTTAGTGCAAGGGGGCCCTCTCTGCTCCATATCTAGGGAGATCTCCAGACATCAGGAGTACCCAATCTCCTGGTTTGGGAGTTTAGTCCACCCTCATCCCCATATATAGAACTTAGGGCAGAGTACAAGAGTGGCCACCAAGTGCCCAGAGGTGTGCCTAGGCATGGAGCTAGGAAACCATGGAGCTGCTCTCCCAGTTCCATGCCAAGGACAGCTCTGGGCACTTGGTGGCCACCTATTATATTCTCCCTCAGTACTGGAGCATGTGCTTGTCATTGGGTGACCTGTAGGTGGACCTGCCTGGTCTGGCCCTGCTCATTGTGGCCCCCACTCAGCCTGACCTAAACAGGAAGCTCAGATCACTGTGCATGCCACAATCAGCCCACTTCCTGAGGCAATAGAGAGCCTCTCCCACTAAACAGGGATCAAGTATATACCCAGCCACATTGTCCACAGCTGGTTCTTACCTGTAAGTGCCGTCTACTGGCTTGCAAAACAAACTGCACAGCCTAATATGAAACCTGCCGACAAAGGTACATAAGGCTATAGGAAGCAAAACCAAAAGATCCTACCTAGCATTCTCTATAGTCTCACCCCTAAGGAGCAGGGGGGAGGAAAAGGGAAAGAAAAAGCCCAATATTATGGGGGGAGAAAAGGGAAAAACCCTACATACACACAAATTACAAACATTAGAAGTGCTAGTGTCTCAGATGAGAAGGAACCAATAAACACAAGAATTTGGGCACCCTAAAAAATCTGGATGTAGTGACACCACAAGAGGATCATACCAGCTTTCCAGCAATGGTCACGGTATAGATTCAATGCCATCCCCATCAAGCTACCAATGACTTTCTTCACAGAATTGGAAAAAACTACTTTTAAGTTCATATGGAACCAAAAAAGAGCCTGCATTGCCAAGTCAATCCTAAGCCAAAAGAACAAAGCTGGAGGCATCACGCTACCTGACTTCAAACCATACTACAAGGCTACAGTAATCAAAACAGCATGGTACTGGTACCAAAACAGAGATATAGACCAATGGAACAGAACAGAGCCCTCAGAAATAAGGCTGCATATCTACAACCATCTGATCTTTGACAAACCTGACAAAAACAAGAAATGGGGAAAGGATTCCCTATTTAATAAATGGTGCTGGGAAAACTGGCTAGCCATATGTAGAAAGCTGAAACTGGATCCCTTCCTTACACCTTATACAAAAATTAATTCAAGATGGATTAAAGACTTAAATGTTAGACCTAAAACCATAAAAACCCTAGAACAAAACCTAGGCAATACCATTCAGGACATAGGCATGGTCAAGGACTTCACGTCTAAAACACCAAAAGCAATGGCAACAAAAGACAAAATTGACAAATGGTATCTAATTAAACTAAAGAGCTTTTGCACAGCAAAAGAAACTACCATCAGAGTGAACAGGCAACCTACAGAATGGGAGAAAATTTTTGCAATCTACTCATCTGACAAAGGGCTAATATCCAGAATCTACAATGAACTCAAACAAATCTACAAGAAAAAAACAAACAGCCCCATCAACAAGTGGGCGAAGGATGTGAACAGACACTTCTCAAAATAAGACATTTATGCAGCCAAAAGACACATGAAGAAATGCTCATCATCACTGGCCATCAGAAAAATGCAAATCAAAGCCACAATGAGATACCATCTCACACCAGTTAGAATGGCAATCATTAAAAAGTCAGGAAACAACAGGTGCTGGAAAGGATGTGGAGAAATAGGAACACTTTTACACTGTTGGTGGGACTGTAAACTAGTTCAACCATTGTGGAAGTCAGTGTGGCAATTCCTCAGGGATCTAGAACTAGAAATACCATTTGACCCAGCAATCCCATTACTGGGTATATACCCAAAGGATTATAAATCATGCTGCTATGAAGACACATGCACACGTATGTTTATTGTGGCACTACTCACAACAGCAAAGACTTGGAACCAACCCAAATGTCCAACAATGATAGACTGGATTAAGAAAATGTGGCACATATACACCATGGAATACTATGCAGCCATAAAAAATGATGAGTTCATGTCCTTTGTAGGGACATGGATGAAGCTGGAAACCATCATTCTCAGCAAACTATCACAAGGACAAAAAACTAAACACGACATGTTCTCACTTATAGGTAGGAATTGAACAATGAGAACACATGGACACAGGAAGGGGAATATCACACGCTGGGGCCTGTTGTGGGGTGGTGGGAAGGGGGAGGTATAGCATTAGGAGATATATCTAATGTTAAATGACGAGTTGATGGGTGCAGCACACCAACATGGCACATGTATACATATGTAACTAACCTGCATGTTGTGCACATGTACCCTAAAACTTAAAGTATATATTAAAAAAAAGAATTCAAAGCATGGATTGCAAGAAAGCTCCATAAGATCCAAAACAAGGTTGACAATCAACACAAAGAAACTTCTAAAGCAATCCAGAAAATAAAGGAAGAGATAAACATCTTAAAAAGAAATCAATCAGAGATTCTGGAATTGAAAAACTCACATAAAAAGTTTTAAAATACAATTGAAAGTTCTGTAAATAGACTGGACCAAGCAGAATAAGGAGTTTCAGAGCTTGAAACTGATCTTTCAAACTAACATAGACAGAAATTTTTAAAGATTATAAAAAAATGAAAAAAGTCTTTGAGAAATATGGCATTGTGGAGAGTGACCAAGCCTATAACTTATTGACATTACTGAGGGAGAAAGAAAAAAAGTAAACAACATGGAAAACATATTTGAGGGAATAATTCAAGAAAATTGTCCTAATCTTGCTATAGACCTAAACAACCAGATATAAGAAATCTAGAGAACTCCTGTGAGATACTATAAAAAAGTCAACAATGCTAAGGCATATAGTCAACAGACTGTCAAAGGTCAATGCTAAATAAAATATTTTAAATGCAACTGGAGAAAATTATTACATCACATGTAAAGGGAAGCCCAGATTGCCAAAAGTGGACTTCTTGTTAGAAACCTTATAAGCCAAGAGAAACTGGGATCCTATTTTCAGCATTCTTAAATAAAATAAATTCTAACCAAGAATTTCACATCCCACCAAACTAAGCTTCATTCGTGAAAGAGAAATAAAATCTCTTCCAGACAAGCAAGTGCTAGGGAAATTTGTTACCACTAGGCTAGGTTTACAAGAGATCCTAATGAATGTTCTAAACATGAAATGAAATAATAATACCTGCTACTACAAAAACATATGTAAGTACATAGCCCACAGACCCTATAAAACAACCACATAATCAAAACTACAAAGCAACCAGCTAACAACTTCATGATAGAATCAAAACCTCATGTATCAATATTAATCTTGAATATAAATGGTCTAAATGCCCCGCTTAAAAGACACAGAGTACAAGTTGGATAAAGAGGCAAGACCCATCTGTCTGCTGTTATCAAGAGACTCATCTCACATATAATGACACTCATAGGCTCAAAGTAAGAGGTGAAGAAATATCTACCATGAAAACAGAAGAAAAAAAAAAGAGCAGAGGTCACTATTCTTATATAGGATAAAACAGACTTTAAACCAATAAGAGTAAAAAAGGACAAAGAAGAATGTTACATAATAATAAAGGGTTTAATTCAACAAGAAGACTTAAATATTTGAAATATATACCCCCCCCAACACTGGAACACCCAGATTCATAAAACAAATATGTCTAAACATACAAAAAGACTTAAACAGCCACATAATAGTTGTGGGAGGCTTCAACACCCCATTGTCAGCATTAATAGATTATTAAGGCAGAAAACTAACAAAAAAATTCTGGACTTAAGCTCAACACTTAACCAACTGGACCTAGTAGACAAGTATAGAACACTCCACCCATCAACCGGACATATACATCCTTCTCATTTGCATACTGTATAAGTCAGGGTTCTCTAGAGGGACAGGACTAATACAAAGGGGAGTTTATTAAGTATTCACTTACATGATCACAAGGTCCCATAATAGGCTGTCTGCAAACTGAGGAGCAAGGAGAGCCAGTCTGAGTCCCCAAACTGAAGAACTTGGAGTCTGATGTTCAAGGGCAGGAAGCATCCAGCCCAGGAGAAAGATGTAGGCTGGGAGGCTAGGCCCGTCTCTCCTTTTCACTTTTTTCTGCCTGCTTTATATTCACTGGCAGCTGATTAGTTTGTGCCCACAAGATTAAGGGTAGATCTGCCTTCCCTGGCCCACTGACTCAAATGTTAATCTCTTTTGGGAACACCCTCACAGACACACCCAACATCAATACTTTGTATCATTCAATCCAATCAAGTTGACACTCAGTATTAACCATCACAGAAATGGAACATATTCCAGGATCAACCACATACTCAGCCATAAAGCAAGTCTAAATAAACTCAAAAGAGTTAAAATCATACCAACCGTATTCTTGGACTACAGTGAAATAAAAACAGAAACCAATACCAGGATCTCTCAAAATCACACAATTACATGGAAATTAAACAACTTGTCCCTGAATGATTTTGGTGTGAACAACAAAATTAAGGTAGAAATAAAAAAATCTTTGAAATAAATGAAAACAGAGATACAACATACTAAAATCTCTGGGATGCAGCAAAAGCAGTGTTAAAATAAGTTTGTAGTGCTAAACACCTACCTCCAAAAGTTAGATCTAAAATTAATGATCTAACATCATACCTAGAGGAACTAGAAAAATAAAAACTAACCTCAAAGCTAGCATATGAAAAGAAATAATTAAAATCAGAGTAGAAATGACAAAATTGATACCCCTCAAACTCCATACAAAGAATGAATGAAACCAAAAGTTGCTTTTTTAAAAGGATAAACAAGAGTGATAGACCACTAGCTAGATTCGCAAAGGAAAAAGAGGAGACACAAATAAGCATAATTAGAAACAACAAAGGTGACGTTACAATCAATCCCACAAAAGATCCTCAGACTATTAGGAACATCTCTATGCATACAAACCAGAAAATCTAGGGGAAATGCATAAATTACTGGAAACACACAACTTCCAAAGATTAAGTCAGGAAGAAATCGAAACCCTGAACAGACCAATAATGAGTTCCAAAAATGAATGAGTAATTGAAAACTAATCAACCAAAATAAAGCCCCAGATCATATGGATTCACAGATGATTCTACCAGATGTACAAGGAAGAGCTGGTATTAATTCTACATTCCAAAAAATTGAGGATGAGGGGGTCCTCCCTATCTCATTCTGTGAAGCCAGCATCACCCTGATACCAAAACCTGCCAAAGACACAACAAAAAAGAAAACTACAGGTCAATACCTGTGATGAACATAGATACAGAGATCCTCAAAGAAATGCTAGTTAACTGAATGCAGCAGTGCATCGAAAAGTTAACTCACCACAATCAAGTAGGCTTCATTCCTGGGATTCAAGGTTGCTTCAGCATAAACAAATTAATAAATGTGATTCACCCCATAAACAGAATTACAAACAAAAACTATATGATCATCTTAACAAATGTGCAAAAACTTTTGATAAAATCCAATAATCCTTCATGATAAAAACCCTGAATAAACTAGGAACTGAAGAAACATACCTCAAAATAATAAGAGCCATCTATGACAAACCCGCAGCCAACATCATACCCAATGGGCAAAAACTGGAAGCATTCCCACTGAAAATTAGAACAAGACAAGAATGCCTACTCTCACCACTCATATGCAACACAGTACTGGAGGTGCTAGCAAGTCTAATCAGGCAGGAGAAAGAGATCAAAGGCATCCGAATAGGAAAAAGTCAAACTATTTCTCATATCATGGATGATATGATTCTATACCCAGAAAACCTTAAAGACTGCCAAAAGACACCATGGAATACTATGCAGCCATAAGAAATGATGAATTCATGTCCTTCGTAGGGACATGGATGAAGCTGGAAGCCATCATTCTCAGCAAACTATCGCAAGGACAAAAAACCAAACGCCGCATGTTCTCACTCATAGGTGGGAATTGAACAATGAGAACACATGGACACAGGAAGGGGAACGTCACACACCAGGGCCTGTTGTGGGGTGGGGGGAGGGGGGAGGGATAGTATTAGGAGATATACCTAATGTTAAATGAGGAGTTACTGGGTGCAGCACACCAACATGGCACATGTATACATATGTAACTAACCTGCATGTTGAGCACATGTACCCTAAAACTTAAAGTATAATAATAAAAAAAATTAAAAAAAAGACTGCCAAAAGGCTCCTGGAAATGATAAACGACTTCAGTAAAGTTTCAGGATCCAAAATCAATGTACAAAAAATCAGTAGCATTTCTATACACCTATAACATTCAATCTGAGAGCCAAATCAAGAAAGCAATCCCACTTACAGTAACCACAAAAAGTACCTAGGAATACATCTAACCAAGAAGGTGAAAGATCGCTACAAGGAAAACTATAAAACACTTCTGAAAGAAATCAGAAATGACACAAATGGAAAAACATTTTATGCTCACAGATTGGAAGAATCAATAGTGTTAAAATGGCTGTACTGCCCAAAGCAATCTGCAGCTTTAACACTATTCCTATCAAACTACCAACATCATTTTTCACAGAACTAGAAAAAGCTATTTTAAATTTCATATGGAACCAGAAAAGAGCCTAAATAGTCAAAGTAATTCTAAACAAAAGAACAAAGCTGAAGGTGTTACATTACCTGATTTTAAACCACACTATAAGGATCCAGTAGCCAAAACAGCATGATACTGGTACAAAAACAGACACATAGACTAATGGAACAGAATAGAGAACCCAGAAATAAAACTGCACACCTACAGCCATGTGATCTTTGACAAAGTTGACAAAAATGAGCAATGGGGAAGGGTCTCCCTATTCAATAAATGGTGCTGGCATAGCTGGGTAGCCATATGCAGAAGAATAAAACTGGACACCCTAGCTCTCACTATATGCAAAGATTAACTCAAGATGGATTGAAGATTTAAATGTAAGACCTCAAACTATAAGAATCCTGGAAGTAAACCTAGGAAACATCATTCTGGATGTCAGCCCTGGGAAAAAAGTTTGACTAAATTCTCAAAAGCAATTGCAACAAAAACAAAAATTGACAAGTGGGACCTAACTAAACTAAAGAGCTTCTGTAAAGCAACAGAAACTATCAACAGAGTAAACTGACAACCTACAGAATGAGATAAAATATTGGGACTTTATGCATCTTACAAAGGTTTAGTATCCAGAATCTGTAAGGAACTTAAACAACTGAACAAGCAAATAAATAAATAAATTTATTTTCTTAATAAATAATTAAGAAATGGGCAAAAGGCTGAACAAGAACATAAACTTCTTTTTCAAAAGAAGACATACAAGTGGCCAGCAAACATATGAAAAAACTCCACATCACTAATCATCAGAGAAATGCAAATCAAAACCACAGTTAGATACCGTCTCAAATCAGTCAAAATGGTGATTATTAGAAAGTGAAAAAACAACAGATGCTGGAGAGGCTGTGGAGAAAAGGAAATGCTTATACATCGTTGGGTGGAATGCAAATTGATTCAGCCACTGTGGAAAGCTCTGTGTTGATTCCTTAAAGAGCTAAAAACAGAGTTACCATTTGACTCAGAAATCCCATTCCTGGGTATATATCCAAAAGAAATGGATATTATTTGCAGCACTATTCACAATAGCAAAGACAGGGAATCAATCCAGGTGCCCATCAACAGTGGACTGGATAAAGAAAATGTGGTACATATACACCACGGAATATCACTTGGCCATGAAAGAGAATGATATCGTGTCCTTTGCGGCAACTTGGATGCAACTGAAGGACAATATCCTAAGTGAATTAATGTAGGAATAGAAAACCAAATACTGCATATTCTCCCTTATAAGTGGAAGCTAAACATTGGGTACTCATGGACATAAAGATGGTAACAATAGAAACTAGAGACTACTAGATAGGGAAGGAGGAAGTGGGCAAGGGTTGAAAAACTATTGGGTACTATGCTCAGTACCTGGGTGAAAGGATCAAATATACCCAGGTAACAAACCTGCATGTGCATCTCCAAATCTAAAATAAAAGTTAAAAATAACACAAACAAAACAAAAACAAAAACAAAATAAATTTTGATTGGGAAAAAGAGGCACCAACATGGAAAGACAGCCACTGCCATAGAAAATTTAACATTTGATGCCTACATGGGGGTTAGAGAGACGTAGCTGTCTAATCGCATTTTTCTTTGGTCCAAGGATCTTAATTATTACATTTGGAATATTTCAATAGTTTCCAGAGTACACTCTCATTTACCTAGCTCAACACAAATGTCTATGGAATAAACTATAACATATATTGTATACCCAGAACAGAAAGAAAGTAACTAATATAAACTAATAGAATCAAACTTATGGAAAGAAAAAAACTGCAGAATGAGGAGTATATTTGATGTGGTTCTAAAGTGAAAAAGCAAATCAAGATGAAAGGAATGCCGTAAGAAAAAAAAATGTTCAAGTTGTAAAAGGCCTATTCCAATCACATGCAGTAGCTAGGATTTGTTGATTAGGAAAGAAGGAAAAGTTGATCAGATAAGTGTAATGGGAATAATATTTCAATGGCATCTTATGTGTGAGTGTGTATGTGTGTGCATCCATGCATGAATTTGGCTGAATATTTTAAATCAACTTGAGTGACATATAACTTACATATAAGAAAGTGTACATAAGTATGGAGTTCAATGAGATTTGAGGATACATGTACCTATGTAACCCTCACAATCTAGATGTAGACAATTTCTTTTTAACTAAGAACCTTTTTCTCTCATTGCAGGCAGCATCTGAAGCAGACGTAGAAACTGCACTGAGAAAAGGAGGAACAAAATATAAACTCTAAATAGAGTTTTATAAATCTTAACAGAGGATATTGGTTTTGGAAGAGAGTTTAGGTTCAGAAGTTTGGGCATTGGAGTATGAGAGCCAAAGCTCCAATTAGCCATCCAAAAGGCTTGTGAAAAAATGCTGAATGAGCTTTCTGTAGAAATCTTTTCCTCTCTTAGTCTTGCTTAAAGAATTTCTTGGGCTGTAGACAAGAAGCTGAATCAGAAATACCAAGATTTAGCCAGTTTGGGCCAGTATTATGGAGTAGGAGGATAGTATTATGGAGTGATATGGTGTTTTTCAGTACAGATGATCAGTTTCTCAAATCTCTGGTAGTCTTAGGAGTGGTATGTAAGGGCATCCCAAAATATCTCATCACTCCAAAAGAGGAAAGGATGCCAGAGAGACAGCCTGTGGGCCTAGGGCAAGGAAAGCAGGGTGCACTATCAGCTGGAGGCTGATGAAAACTCAGACATCAGCAGTGAGTGGCTAAACCAAAGAGCAATGTGAGCCAAAAACCAGAAGTCTCTCTCCTGCCCTCACTCCCAGTAGCCTAGCTGTGATACAGGTTTCCCAGAACTTGAATTAGCTCTGGGGAGAATGGTGAAGGGGAAATCCTGGAATGTCAGAAAGCACCAGTTTGACAAAAATTAAGTTCTCTGATACTAGGTAAAATGGGCTTAAAGTAGAGTTTAGGTTGAATAGTAGAAAAGTAAAATGACATTTTCTTTTTTTGCATATCTAAATTCTGAGAAATGTGTACCCACTACATAAGCAGAATAAATAAATCCAATGTCATATTAGAAACTAAAATTAGTAATGAATGAACATTATTCAACTGTATTGAATAACTTTGTTTGTATGGCACTTGAGAGTTGACAAGTGGTTTTGTGTACTTAATCTTATTTGGTCCACTCAATAGCCTGCAAGGTAAGCAAGTCAAAGACCTTTCCTTTACTTGAAAATATAGACAGCTATGAAATACCATCCCTGAATATTCATTGATTCAATTCATCCAAGAAATCAGTGAAATGCCATATACTTACCACCTACTTGACATTTCATTTTCCCTGGAGTGCATTTCCAAGAGGCTGTGAGGGATATAGAGCAGGGTCACAAAAGCATCATGAGAGGTAGGAATGTAGTAAGACCAAAGGGTGGCAATGCCTATAAACAGAAATGGGCATAGAGGTAATAAGGATAAAACAATGAGTTCTTGACATTTTATGTCACTGTTGCAGAAAGGAAGGCAATATGGTTTGGCTGTGTCCCTACCCAAAATCTCATCGTGAATTGTAACTCGAATTATAATCCCCACGTATTGGGGGAAGAACCTCATAGGAGGTGATTAGATCATGGGGGTAGTTCCCCCATGCTGTTCTCATGATTCTCAAGATAGTGAGTTTTCACAAGATTTGGTGGTTTTATAAGAGGTTTTTCCCTGCTTCGCTCTGTACTTCTCCTCCCTGCCATCGCATGAAGAAGGACATATTTACTTCTCTGTCTGCCATGGGTTGTAAGTTTCCTGAGGCGTCCCCAGCCATGCAGAACTGTGAGTCAATTAAACCTCTTTCCTTTATAAATTACCCAGTCTTGGGCAGTTCTTTACAACAGCATGAGAACGGACTAATACAGAAGGGAAACTCTAGTGATATCCTAGTATCTGCTGGTGGTGATTTAGATGGTGTGGAGAAGCAGCAAAAGGTTCACAGGGGAATAGTCTTAGTTATCTGACTGCTGAGCCAGTGGAGGCATCAGTAACCCTGCCAGGTGGTGAGGAAGACGCTGGACAAGGTAAGAAAGGGGCTTGGAGAAATAAAACTGGTTTCAGAGACTGGTCCTTGCATACAAGATGCAAAGAGGTGTGGTGTTCTTGAGCTTGTCCTGTATCTGAATAAGTCCAGACATGCAGATCTGCAGTTATTATCCAGGGAGCAGGTGATACCAAAGCATGGTGGCTGGTCAGTTCCTTCACAGCCAAGACCCAGCCGCTGGCCAGGATATGGAGATTCATTCAAGCAGCTCAGAGATGAGAACAGAGTTTCAATTCCAGCTGCAACTGGAGTCCTGGAGGGAAATCAAGGTTGTAATCCTGACTGCGGTCTAGGGCAAAAGAGAGGAGAGCAGAGAAAGAAATAGTGGAGATGAAATCAATGGCAGCAGGGCCCCTCTCCTGCCACTGTGGGCTGAACTGCTGCTGACCTTCTGACAGGGTCAGGATGAATGTGAACTCAAGGGACCTACACTACAGATGAAGGTCTTCCATGGTGCCAGTGGTGTATAGAGAAGACAGAGATTGAACATCACAGCACCCATACAGGGTAGGTTTTGAGCCAGACTGGAAATCCCAGTCTGACAAAGTACACTAGTCATCAATTTGGCACACTGCTGAGATGTGAAACAGGTAGCTGGAAAACAATACCTTGACTGGTAGGCCATTTATTTAAAGAAAATAAAAAATAATTTTAACCAGATGGCTAAATAATTTTGATAGTAATTTGTAATTTTAACAGGGTTTAGGACATGGGAAAATTTTCCTAGATAAATAGTAAGAAATGTTCCAAGCTGGACTCAAGAATTAAATGAACAGTAAAATAATTCCTGACTACCTCTGTCATATATAGAAGCCCATTCGACTTAACTGTTCATCTGACCAGCCTAGTCTTGTAGAAAACTGGCCAGGCCAGTCCCGTAATTTCTATTTCTCTCTGAAGTCCTTATGTCCTGTCAGTCAATTTTGACAGGATCCTGAGAGAGGCATTTAAGAATACTCAGATTTTTTTTTTTTTTTTTTTGCTTATTTTTTGTTGTGGTTCTATATTTCTGTTTACTTGAAGAGCTTCCATTCTCCATGCACACAGACAAAAAAAGTATAAATCCTGGAATAATAGGAGCAAGCTCTTATACACCTATAACACCTACACTATCTAGTAGAGTTACTACATGGCATTAGAAGCACCCAATGTACCATGTAATTGATCTTTAATTTTATTTATTCCATTTTGTTAGAGAATTTTGAACTAAGATTTCTTTATAAGTGCCTAGTTTTTCCTATGTAGCAGAAATAATAATGATGATAAGAGAAGAATGAACACCTATAGAATGTGTACTGTGTCCTAGGTATCCTTTGAGTTGCTTTGCCAGGATTATCTTATCTGTCTTCACAAACTTATGAGGTAGGTACTGTTATTACCTCCATCTTCCTGGAATCCACAGGATTTTAGATCTGAAAGATAAACATGTTAGCAAAGATGTTGCCTTGTTTTCCAGTTAGCTCTTATGCCATACCAGTGTCTCACACAAATAAGAATGAATTAGACACCAGTGTCTTGCACAAATAAGATGCTGAGGTCCAGACCACTTAAGTCAGTTGCCTAAGGGCTTGCTTTTGTTATATGACAGGCCTGGAATAAATGCAGATCATTTCATGTTCATTTATCTTTCAACTATACCATGCCTTCTCTTAATTATAATTTTAAGAAGTATCTTCTCTTAGAAATACAAATGTATGAAACAGATGAGGTCTGGTCTAATTACCAGAAGTAATTAAATGAAATTCTATGTGAGCTTATTATATATATTTATATATAATGCTGCCTTTAACAAAATATCAGCAAGGAAATAAAAGAATACATAGAGATTTCAAATCTTTGAAAGCTCACCAGACTTCCTGATAACCAAGTTTGTGTCAATGGTCTGGAGCCACTTTCATCTGAGCTTCTACAAAAGATCCAAAGAAGGCACCTATTAAAATTTCATAGGTCATAATTAATGATCCTGCTCATAAATTGCTGCTATTATCTCTGACTCTAGATAGATGGTTTACCTGCAGGGAGAATTTTCTTTGCAGCAACACATGGAAGACCATAAATTGGCCTGGTTCATTAATTTAGTGGGTCTTGGAAAGCTAAAACCTCTTTCTTTCTAAATTAATGATTTCAAAATAAGTTTACTGCAACAAGACATGGAGAGCTTGCTATATATACCCACTTTCTAAATCTACCACCATGGCCTGAGGTTGTGAAAATTTGAGGAAACTTTTGATTTTCAACTCTTATTGCGGTTTCCCCATGTTCATGTCCTTGTGTCTGCAGGGCACGCATCCACAGCTCTGTGGTACACATTGCGAGCACAAGAAAAATCTGCTTCTTTTGTGACCTCTGCTGTATGCAGTACAGTGTGAGGAACAAGGTGTAATTCCGCATTTGTTGAGCCATTGAGACTTTTCTTTTCACCTACTTTGTCCTCTTCCTCTACTGTTTCTTCCTCTCTTTCTTTTCTCCCATCTCAACCGTTACCCCTCTGAAAGATTCTCCCTAAAACAATTTCTTAATTATCAGTGTACAATTGAGCCAAGAAAGCATTTTGTTACCACACTGGCTTCCTCCAACCTCCCCGCCAGAGTGTTTGGTTTTTCCTCCACTGTTAGAGGAAATGAGCTATAGGGATAATACCTTGACTTGAGTGTGCTTCTCAAATGCTTATCAAATTTAATACTTGTTCTTTTGTTGAATTAAAAAAAAATGTAGAGATGGGGTTTTGCCATGTTGGCTGGTCTCAAATTCTTGAGCTCAAGTGATCCACCCACCTTGGCCTCCCAAAGTGCTGGGATTACAGGTGTGAGCCACTGCACTCTAATACTTGTTCTTGAAATGTATAATTATAACGA
The DNA here is from genome assembly GCF_000001405.40 of Homo sapiens. NCBI lineage: Eukaryota > Metazoa > Chordata > Mammalia > Primates > Hominidae > Homo > Homo sapiens. The sequence continues at coordinate 79,005,307 of NC_000013.11, read as the reverse complement.
TAAATCTACCAAGGGTAAAAAAGTATTACACTTTAATTTAAACAGTATGACCAATTGTTCCATTTGGCATTTTGGATTATCTGCACCTTCAGGGATTACTGTCTGAACCTAGCATTTTATCTGCAACAGTTTTACATCCTTCACAGACTTGAAATGCAATAAAAGTCATTAGTTGGCAGGAAAGAGCGCTATTAAATTTACTTTAAATAATAGACCCAAGTGACATATCAAAAATGTTGACTTGGTTTTCTAGACCTCATGGAAACAGACTAAACGGGGAGGGAGGAGGGGTGTTGAGTACAAGGGTGAAGATATAATTTACAGTTGGTTATTAACTTAACCAATGTTGTCAATAGTGTATTTCCTTTTGCCTTGGGGCTAGCTGGAAATGGTAAAATTATCTCCAGTCCAATCAACTGGCATCTGCCATTCACGGTGTGAATAATACCACACTTAGAACTTGATAGAACAACCCATCTCATGTAGACTTTGAAACGTCACCACTTGGAAATTGCATCTCAAGAAACCAGAATCAAATATGACACATCGACCTAAAGTGAGGAGGGTCAATAGTCCATTAGCAGTTCCCCAGAGAATTTGTGTTATAAGTGACCTTCCCTTTCTGCTCCCACTCTCATCCAGCTGCATCAAAGCTGCTTGGGGAAGAGACAAACTAATCACTTGCATATACTAAATTTGCTGCAGGCCATTGTATGATAAATTGTCCAATTTCACTAAGCAAGGTAGCTTTGAAAAAGAAAATTCAGTGTCACAGAATATAACATCATTGTGCGGTCAGGTCTTCAGCTGTAATACAGGACTAAAAATATCTACATTTTCTGTAAACTTCTCCCATTGTGCTGGGTGTGTGTGTGGTGCATAGAGGGTGTGACTGTTACAAAACAGTCACCAGATGAGTCTCCTTGGCTAGAAGAACTCGATTTTTTTAAAAATATGTCACCTCATTGATTTGAAGATTGCATTTTTATAATTTTGTTCTTGTAAGAAAGTAAAGCATGAAGTATGAAACCTAAGAGGTCAATTTGGAGTACACTTACATGATGAATCAACTTGACAGCCTCTGAAACAACTTTCAATGGCTTTAAAAATATGAATAATAGTTTGAGTTATAGCAATTTGGGTATTGAGAATGATGACATCATAAATTCTACCGCTTGATTTAAGGATTAGGTAGCTTGGGGGAATTTTGTTTTGCTGCAAAACACACTTATGTTTAACTGTTGTTGCTAATCTTGTCCCAACGTTTCTAGGCAGTAATGTCAGGAATACCAGTTTTTCTGTTGGCCAATTCTGGGCAGGTGGTAGGTGGGACGTTAAGTGGGGCTAAAAAATGGGGTGGCCGTATCTCTTGTCTCTACAAATTGTTCTTGGTCCTCGTTTACTACACTGTTCTATCTCAAATGTTAGTTTCTTTCATTTATGGAGTACCTCAAACGGGATTTGCCAAAGGATATACCTCACAAAACTGGTTATACAGCAAGAAGATAGATGCTACTCCAAAAATGATAGTAAGTTATCATTTAAACTTACTAATAAGTTTAATAAATTGTTTAAAATTATTTAAACAATAAAATAGGTGCTTTTCTCAGAGCTTTAACTTACTAATGTGCATTGTGGCTAACCAAAAGGGATAGATAATAGGTGGCATTTACCAAACTTATTTGTCCAACTATTTATTTCAATCTAGGGGAATTTTGTGGGAGTGACGTTCTGTGGTGCATACTTGGCCAAACACTTAAATTGCTCAATTTCAAATGAAAGCAGTCCTTAAAAATGATCTGCAATACCTACCATATGAACCTACTATAAAATAGAACTATAATAGAGATGGCAGCAGTATAGAAAAATAACAATTCAATGTGAACTGACACTATGAATAGTTTTGAAAAACGCTCAGACTAGCGTACAGAAATTCAAGGGAGAACAGGGGATAACTGCCTCCACCTGCCCTCCTGCAGGTTGCCTGGTCAGTTTTTGAGGGTGACGAGAGATTAAGAGATGCTCCCACATTGTGAAAATTGTGAGGAGCATGAAGGTCTTAGAAGTTTTATTCTCCTGTGACAAAGCAGCTTTGAGAATTGTGACTTGGCTTGGATGGGCAGTTCACCAGGGAAGAAATGTGGCCACAGAGGCATCCATCCCGTTTAGATGGCATGTTACCCTGCAGGAGAGCACAGACCTCTTCTCTCTGGGGCATGCTTAATGAGACTCCCTTTCCCTCTGGAACCAGATACATCCATTACCAATCAGAATTCTCATTGATGTGGTTTATCTTGGTATAGGAAACATGCCTATAAATTGTACTTCTTTATCATTTGTTGATTAAGCTGAATAACTTGAAAAGCCATGTAATTAAAATGCTTAATAGAACAATATAAACTATTTTACTCATTTATTTAAATATTTATAATTTTATTTATTTTTAAAGCCTCTTTTAACAATTACTGTATCAGCTATCTTCTAATCCTTGACCCCTTTCTTTCCACATTTTCTGTTCCTAGCCTTTCCCTGATTTTCCTGCTCCTGCTTCCAGCTCCTGACACATAGCATCAATTGATTTGTAACAATTGTATCTAATATCTTCACAGCAACAAGAATGCAGATAAATCTCCAACCAAAGAAAATGAATAGAACTTCATTCAAGTCAATGAATGAACTTGTAGATCATCTTTGCCCCAAATTTAAGAGTCTATCTATATAACCTGCCACTTCAAAACATCTAATGTTTTTAAAGCCAGAAGCATTTTGTGTATTCAACATTTCTCACCAAATATAAGAACTGCCACAGAAATGCCTAGCTTTTAAAATTCTGTGGCAGAATTAAACAATCTCAAGACTAAGCGGAAAATCAGAATACCGAAGCTAGAAGAAGAAAAGTGAACATAGATTAGTTTGTTTCTGCTGACAAGCCAGTTTGTAGTTCTCTCTTTAGGTCAGTGTTCCTACAAAGCTGGAGGCTTCCAGCGGTTACACTGGAATCTCCAGACTCAGTCGCTGAACTGTTGCAGATCTGAGCACCCCTGCCTTGTCTAAATCACCAGGGAAATCTCAGCTATCCTTCTCTTTGAACATCTGAGGCAGCTCATGGGTCGTCATGGTGAACAGCCAATAAGCTAAAGCCAATACCTCATCATTCCACGATAGAGGGCAATGAAGCCAGGTTGTGGGGATGATTGCCCAAGGTTGCAGAATCACAATTTGTTTTCAGGTCCCTGACATCTAGATTAATAGTTATGTTCAGGCTTCTTTGTGATGCCTCTCAAAACTCTGTAGAAGGTATTAATCCTGCTGTTTTTCAGAAGACAGTTCTTGCTATCTCTATTCAAAATACCTGACCAAATGATCTTAACGTGTTTCATGAAGAAATCGCCTCAAAATGTTTAGGATGTGGGTGATGAGAGGAAGCATAGAGAAGTTGTCTCTTGCCTCATAACAGAGGAGCTGGGAATAGTGCCCAAGCCTGAAAAGAAAGATCTCCAGTGCAGCAGGGCTTGCTAAGGCTTGCAAAGGTCTTAGGGAGATCAACGATGTTTCAAGAACAACAGTTATTTCCAAAGGCAACTTCCTTAAGAAGTACGGCTTCTTGACAACTCTTTCTGATAAAGCCATCTTAGATTTAGAGACTACCACGCAAGTTCCAGATGGTCTAGATTAAGCTTGAGATACCAGTTTCAGAAGAAGAAACTAGTCAAGAATAAAGAATTTTTCTGAAAGAAAAAAAAACTTTCTAGGTCAATTTAAAATGTTCATTATATGTTGGTAATTTTTAAATAATTTCTCTTTGATGCCATTCTGCTAACGTTTTTGGTGTCTAGAAAGAAGCACGATTTTATTAGATCCAATATGTGAGTAGCTTTGGCTGCCTTAACACCTAAAAGATTCTCATTATTATTATAATTATTATTTAGAGATGGCAACTCATTTTAATACGATTGCTTTCTACCATTCTGTGAAGAAACCTCTGGAGTCATGAACTTTTTGAGCAGAAGAAAGTGAGGTCTGATGAGCTCAGTGATTTATCCTCAGAATCAAAATTGAGTCCTTGACTGGGCTGGGATAAACCACAGGTTCTTACTCACATGAAGTATTTATACTTCTTAAAGATTTTAAATAAAATTTTTTGCTTCTCTCCACAATATTCATTAGTTCTGATCATATTATGGTCCCAATGTAGCTATTTTAAAGTGAAATTAAAATGCAGCCCAGCTTTGGAGGGTAAGAGTTATTGAAAGAGGTGTCTGGAGAGCCATTTAAAATTTTCAAGAAAAAAAAGAGAGTGTGTGTGTGTATGTGTGTGAGAGTGAGCTGTTCTTTTCCTTTTAAAAATTAAGAAATCAAATATAGAAATAGTCTAATTTACATTAATGATCTGCAATCCATGAGACAATTTTTAACCATTTTAAAGTGAAAGGCTAGTGATTATGTGGGTGAGTAGATGGCGATAATAACCATAAATCTTTGAAAAGATGTGCTAGGTAATAGTATATAAAAATGAGGTTGGCTGGGTTTCCGGCCTGTGTGAGAACTTTATTTTTCTTTTCTTTCTTTTTTTTTTTTGAAACGGAGTTTTGCTCTTGTTGCCCAGGCTGGAGAGTGCAATGGCACAGTCTCAGCTCACTGCTACCTCTGCCTCCAGGGTTCAAGTGATTCTCCTGCCTCAGCCTCCCCAGTAGCTGGGATTACAGTCACCTGCCATCAAGCCTGGCTAGTTTTTGTATTTTTAGTGGAGATGGGGTTTCACCATGTTGGCCAAGCTGGACTCGAACTCCCAACCGCAGGTGATCCACCCACCTTGGCCTCCCAAAGTGCTGGGATTACAGGCATGAGCCACCATAAGGAAAGCCTAAGCCATTATTCTGAGCCCTTGAGAGGTTGAAACTTACTATTTCTACTTGTCCTTATACTTGAAGGGTTAGCCTTTTCCTTTCTGGCATCTTCTCCACCCCTATGGACACTGTGTAGGATACAGTTAGGTCTACAAGTGAGCACTGGCTCTCCTTAACCCCCATCTCAGGGAGAGTAGGGCTAAGAGCAGTTCAGGAAGTGGGAATACTGGCTGTGCAAAATAAAATACCTGCAGAGTGGCAACTAGCCCAGGTGGACTCCATGGAATTCCCCACGGGTGTTGCTGGGAATCAGCATTCTTTCTCCTAACTTGTATCACGAAAGCATGTTGTGCGTCGACTGCTGAAATTCTGTTCTCTTTACTGCTAGGCCCAGTCCCTCTTAGAGAAATAAACATTATTGCTTCATAGGGGGGGTGGGTGTGGATAAGGGACTGAGGATGGAGGGTGAAGACATGAAAGATGGAGGTGGAAAGGCAGATTTGTCTGAACCTATCAATGAGATGAATGAACCTCAGCTCACATGCAGAGGGAAGATGAGAGTCCATGAGACGGTTCTACTAGGAAACAGAGGCAGTCATGACATGCGCAAATTGCCCAGATGTGCAGATTGAACCGGAGACTTGTTTGAAAATAGAGTCTACTTGCCCTGTTTCCCAGTTCTAGGCCCCACATCATCACTGGGAAAGAACACATCATGGAAATCCACATGTAAATCACAGTCAGAAACAAACTGTGCATTGATGTGGGTATGATTTTAAACATACTCAGTGATACTTTCAAATATGTCATGAACACAGTTTTAAAGAATTCCCCTTTACCACTTAAAACATGTAAGTGCAATGAAAAGTATGCTTGACTGCACTGCAATAAATAGTACGTTTCTTAATAATTTTAATAACTATACCCCCAAGTCTCTTAAGATAAACAGTTAATGGTAATTATTTGTAAATGTTATACTTTAAGGGAAGTCTATTGCATGAATTCGGTTTTATATGACAGGCCAATACTATGAAAAGGATTTCAAAATTTAACCTTATTTTGAGAGACAAAAATGGATTTTTAAAAAATGCCTGTGGAGAATTGGCTCTAGCAATGCCATTATGTGTTATACATGTTAGAGAAGGGGGCATGGCATGGACTCAGAGAGTTTTAGAGGAAATTAGAATGCTACAAATGATTCCCTTTCTTGAACCCTAAAAAATTCCACTTTGATTTAGCACTGGTGGAATTGTTAATAAAAACTTCTTTGCACATGGTGTATAAACAGCACAGCCCAGCCTGTATCAACTTTATGCTCCAATAAACAAGACAATAATGACAAATTATCAAAGCAGGCCTCAGATGTGACCCTCAATTGGGAGAGCAGCAATTTAATGAAGACAAAAGCTAGGTGAAAGCTGCTAATATCATTTACTGATAAACAGATTTTCTCGAGAGGCTCCTAGCTGAATCCCCCAAGGACCCATAAACCTGCATGATTCCATTTAAAATATTGTGCAATTCACTAAATTAGTCTTTGAACATCCTTACTATCCAATTACGAAGCCCCAGCATGGACAGAATAATGAAATTTTTCAAACTGTGGAATGCATGTGGTCTTAACAAACTTATGACAAACACCAAAATTAGCTTTCAATTTTGAGGCCAATGCAGCTCCCTTTAATACCTCAAGTCAGAGAGTGGCAACAATAAAACACTATTGCAGGGCTAAGCAGGACAGAAGAAAAATAAATCTTGACTTACTCAGAATTCTGAACACGGTCTACCTTCAGGAAAAAAAATCATACGAAATTGAATGATGTTTTGCATTTGCAAGCTATTTGGTCGCTTAAAATCTAGTAAAAGCTTTACTGAATAAAGGGTACAAAATACCTCCTGGACAGTTCTATCTTCCAGGCAGGCAGAAAAAGCCGAGAGTTTGAGGAAGTGAAATTTATTTCTGTTCGAGCATTGCAAGCTGCATTATTAAAGTCATTTGTCATGGTTTGAATATTTCTGCCTGATTCACCATTAAATTGGCCTTCTAATTACCAACTTTGTCATGAAAAGTGGTCTGGCTGTTTCATTCACCAGAAAACTTTAATTCTTTAATCGTCACTTGCCACATGAAAATAAAAGAAAAAGAAAAAAAAAAACAGAAAACAACAAACCATATATTTTATCCTAAAATCTTAAAAGAAATGATGTCAACAAAATTATGCTTAAATTATCACATAGCTACACATTTAAAAGATGGTGATAAGTATTTAGGAAGTTAGTTCTTTCATCTTTGTAAAGAAACTTTGTCAACATAAACCTATCATCTGGTTACGTAACTCAGTCTTGCTGTTTGACCGTATAACCTCGTGTGATGGTTTCAAAACCAACGCACACCAACTGTAAACATAGTGTGCCAGGTGAGTTATTTCTCCTTTTCACATTTTCTAGGTTCTTGGCTTTTTAAATGCTATATTTAACTCTATCAATAGGAAAATATCTGGAATCCATGGCTTCTCTCAGCGGCCTGGTGAGGTCATAAAGTTAACTGCTTGTTCCCACTGTAAGGTAGGCAGGGGTAGGGAAGTGTGGCAAGAATCACAGTATCTTTCCTTTTACATTAATTACTGTTGGTTGTGATCAAGTTACAACATGCACTAATATTTTAAACTATGCAGCATAGTTTCTTTCAATGTTGGGGGAAAGAAGATGAACCTATCAACATGACTCCAATAAAGGCTTAGTAATACAACCATATTTGGGAAATATTCATATAGCAAAACAGAGATTGGCAAAAAAAATGTAAAACACCAAATTATGAGAAATTGTAGATAGAGAAACTAAAGCATAGAGGGTTTTGTAAGTTTCCCAGAGGTCATGCAGGTAATAAGAGGCATAATCATAATTTGAATCACTGTCAACCAAATCTTCTGGAGTTCATGAATGGAACCATCTCCCTGGGTGTACGGGAAGCACTTAACACAGTGGCTGGGATGGGTGCATGCATCAGATCTCTGAATGAGCTAATTTTTATGTTTAGGCTGTCTTTAAAAAGAAGTATATGCTTTAGACATTTTCATTTCTAGGCTCCAAATAAAGAGATCAATATTTTAGCTACTGCAAAGGCAACTGGCAATAAACCCAAAGAACTTAAAAGTTACATCACTGGGATTGACATATTAGCATCTTATGATCACCTTTATAGATGCCATGTATTATGAGAGGAATCTTTGGATAAGCATTTTCTGCTGACCTATATGAGAAGCAAAAATGAGTAGAACATCTGAATAAAGTTTATGAATGTTGAAAACTTATTTTTACATATTTTTGTCTTATTTCATTACTAACTTTACTCGAAGGAAACTTGCATCTGCTAATGAGAAGTTTACTCCCAGCATGATTATCTCATAGCTACAAGATAATCATGTATATTTTCTAATTCATTTCCCAGAATTTATCTAAATTGAATCATTGGTTTCATCATGTTTTTTCACATTGAACCAAAATGAGGAAATTTGATTAAGAATCTTGAACATCATAAAATATGAGATTAGTATACACCGTTTAGAAATAAAGAGGACACTTTTGAGAATAAAAGGAGTGTTACTTACAATTATGTCCAAACACTAGAGCTAAACCAAGACTGTTCAAATAAACTGGGACATCTTTTCACTCTAACATTAGAGTATGTATATTCTGTAACTCTCTCTTGAATTATTTCCTACTTTTTCTGAATTATGTAACCTGCAGTGGGTCCCTAAAAAAAAAAAAAGGTAATGGTAGGTAACATTTTTGGAGTCCTAATATGTTTAAATATATATTTATTCTACTCTCAGACCCCACTGAGAATGCTAAATAATACAAAATTTAGGGTTTATGGTCATTTTGCCTTAGAATTTTGAAAGCAATTTTTCCTCTTCTTCTAGTCTCCAATATTGCTTTTGGGAAATTCAATGCCATTCTAATTCTTTATTCTCTATATGCGATCTATTGTTTTGTCCTAGGTTTTTTTCTTATCCCTTTTTTTTCTTTCCTTTCTTTCTTTCTTGAAGTATTTAAGATATTGTGTTTATCCTCAGTGTTCTGAAAATTCATGATAATGTGCCTTGGTAATGCATTGGTTTGGTCTCTCTTTTTTATTAATTGGGCTGGGTACTTGCAATATTCTTATAACCAGGAGACAAATGTCTTGTCTTTCAGTTCTGAATGTTTTTCCTGTTATTTCTTAGGTACTTTCATTTGCTCTATTTCTCTTAATCTCTCTAGACCTTCTATTAATAAAATATGGTGTCTTCTCATTTGACTAATTTTTAAAATTTGTACACTTTCCATTTCTTTGTGTTTTTTTGATATACTTTGAGGACTTTTTCTTACCTTTATCAACCTTTCTGTCAAATTGTCATTTTGCCTTTCTTATTCTTAATTTATAATAGCTCTTTGTGATTCTCTGATAGTTTCTTTTCACAGCACCCCGTTCTTGTTTTATGAACACAATACCTGTTGTTAACTCTCCAAAGATATTTTTAATTCTTCTGTTCTCTGTGTTGTCTTTCTGCTCTGAATTCTTTTCTTGTATTATTGTTTTATAATATTTTCATAATGGAGGCTTTAACCCAATGCCCAGTGATCCCTCGTTGCTTGTTAAGGTTTATGAATGAGGCATTAAAAGCAGATTGGAGGCTCCAAATTTGTGGATGGGACTTGTGCACCTAAGGGCTTGACTGTGGGCTCAACAGGAAGCAACATGACCCTTTCACTGGAAGATCTCTAAAAGTCAGACCAGTTCCACTACAGAAGACTCCTTCAGCTTCCTGCTGGTTGGTGGGGGTATTCTACGAGCCTGCTTTCTCTTAAAGGAATTATTCTGTTATCAGCTCCACACCCCAATCCTGACCGCCTTTGTTTCTATTCTACCTGAATCTGGGAACACTCTGCCCAGTTTCTCCCAGAAAATAAAACTCCAATCTCCTTGGGAGATTCTATGACCATACGTACAATTTTAGCCCAAGCATGTCTTTTTGGCTTTGTACCCATCAGATACCTGATGTTTCCAGTGCAGAATCTCTCAGGGGTTTATTGGGCAATCTAGCTCATCTGTGTTGCTGCCCGCCCTGTGCCAGCAGGTATGTTCTACTTCTACTCTGCTCTACCCTACTCTACTTCCACTCTGGTAAGTCTGTTACCCCGTGGGTTAAATCCATTACCCTCCATCTACTTCCTATCTTTAAAAAATATGATAAAATCTCTCTTCACATTTTTATAATTTCAATATCAGTGGGTAATATGCTCTAAAAATCAGGTCTTGCTCTGATTACTAAATTCAGTGGATGAACAATGCAATGGGTTGGATATCTGCTGATGGCCAAATTTCAGCCATTGTTTCAAGACAACTGAAAACACGGAGTTCAGGCAAAAATTCAGATCTGAGATCTGAAACCAAATACTTTTAACTTCACAAGATCCTTGCTGACGTATCAAAGCAGGCAGCTCCGGCAAACAGGATGTTGCGTATCTTGAATCAGAAAAGAAATTGGAAAAGAGGTGGTGAGTTTGCAGAGAAAAAAAACTAAGTAAAATACAGACCTGCAGTGTTAGCAATTGACATTTAAAAAAAAAAACTTAAATGATGAGCTTGTAGTTTTAATATCACTGCTCTATCCAACCCTCTGAATCTTTTTATCATACCTAAAGAATTGTTCATTTATCTTTCAGGAATACATTAGAGTAGGAGACTTTTCCCATAGGCAAAACCATTATACATATTTGCAAATGTCTTACATAATGATGCAAATACTATGCACAGAGATGTTTTGATGAAAGGTAGAAACAATGCAGCAATTTTCATTTCATTTCATTAGCTATCATAGCTCCAAGTAAAGAGAGTTTTCTTTGTTGTTTATGCTTTTTCAAATGTTAAAAACGCGGATATTTAGAATTCATGGCACTGCCTGTAAAGAGAAAATCAAGTTATCTGATGGAAAATATTTGTTTCTGATCTGATGGAAAATAGATGTTTCATCTCATACTCATATTTGTGGTTACTATTTCTAGTAACTTTATTTAAAATATCTGCTTATTCAGAAATTATAGCTAGGTTTTTATTGGATTTCAAAACTATTTCCAATATATTGTAGAGAGAAAAATATGTATATGTCAGCTGCAGATACAAAATAAAGAGTTGTCTTCTTATTTCTCTTATTTTGGTCAACTCAGGTTTAAACTTTTATTTTTGCAGCAGAAGCTTAAATACAATTACTTACATTGGACCTTAGCTGTCAATGTGAAAAAATAAACAAAAGTCCCAGCCATTTAGTGCCTGCTTTGCATCTACATAAGAATTCCCCTTTCAATACACCCCTGCTCCTGGCAGCTTATTATGGCCATTGTTTAATTTGTGCTCTGTTTTTACAGATGACACTTGTACAGGTCCCTTGGGGCAGCTGATAGAAGTCAGGCTCATCTCTTTCCCTTGTGTCAATTCTTTTGTGAACCTTTATAATTAGCCACTTAACAAATTGAGGGAAATGAACCTTCAGCTGCAAAGTATATTCTGAAGTTAAGTCAACCATATGACAGGCAAAACCGATACACGAAAATCTCCTTAACTCAATTGTTGAGTTGCCTCAAGGGTTAAGAGGGATTCTACCAGTAATAGCCTAAAAGAGAGGCATTAGGAGCAATGTTTTTGATGGTTCTCTACCTAAATGCCTCTTAGCCTTCTCAAGAAACAGCACATATTAGAAAAAGGGACGTATTTAAAAGCATTTTGGCTACTTCTTTTTTAAATCTTTTGTTTGGCAGGAGAAAAATGTCAAAAGCCTGATTTTTGAAAGAAACAAGATCTCTAGGCTTCAACCTTACAGGTTAAATGCAAATAAATAAAGTTTACATCTTCTGGGCTGAAGTATTTGCGTACTGAAAATGATATAATGTAGATTAAGATATTAATGAATTTGTTTTCAGAATCTGTAATAGGGACCCTAAGAGCAGGGTGCTATCATTACAAACTCTTCCCTTTTTATTACTAATTAGACTTCTAAATGTGAGTGTAAATGTACCTCAGAGAGTATGTATTAAAAAGTTGCATATGCATAAGAGATCATTTCAAATTCATTTTCCAACAAAAACTTCAACTTTGATATTTTCTCATGTTCCCATTTATATCACATTAACGTAATCTTTTGTATTTAATTTATAAATTCCGTTGTGATCATTCAATCAAGGTATTTACTTTGGGGAACTATCTGATATCTTAATCCCCAGTTCAACAACCAACAGTCAAGTATTATCTATTTAATGTATCCAATTATTTATCAGTGATTCTTTTTCAAGTTATACGTGTATTTTCTCAAAAGTGTATAATAAAATATATCTGGTTTAGTGGCATACCCAAATCAAAAATATATATGGTACCTTTTATGCAGAGCTGGGGAGATATAAGTGAGGGTTTAGAGTATTAGAAGATCAAAAATTTTAATATGCTGTGTAACATTAAGATACTAGAATTCTTTGTATCTTGAGAATAATAAAACAGAGCACAATAATATTTTTGTATTGGTCAGTGAGATTAAGAAAAAAAGACAAAGTTTCACTTCACATAAGCTCAGAGTGTTACTGTAAACAAAACCTTTATTTTTATTATGATATAGATCTCAAATATCTTAATTATAGCTTATAGCAACCTGTCATTTGTTTTGTAGACTATCAAATTGTCTGTAGTCTATTGAAGTTATGTTTGATATTGCTCAATGAAGGCTGCATCTATAGTAGGACTGTTAATTTATGCATGTCTATCTTTTTAATAGATGATATGATGAGAAGAACCCCTTATTATATAATCGACAGTATGTCAGGCACTGTTCTAGGCACTTTACACGTATTAATTCATGCATTCCTCATTGAAACCCTATTGAGGGTATGTGATACGGTTTAGCTGTGTCTCCATCCACATCTCATCTTGAATTCCCATGTGTTGTGGGAGGGACCAGTGGGAAGTAATTGAATCATGGGGCAAGTCTTTCTCATGCTGTTCTTGTGATAGTGAATAAGTCTCACAAGATCTGATGGTTTTAAAAGGAGGAGTTCTCCTGTGCAAGCTCTCTCTCTTTGCCTGCTGCCATCTATGTAAGACACGACTGGCTCTTCCTTGCCTTCCAGAATGATTGTGAGGCTTCCCCAGCCACGTGGAACTTTAAGTCCAATTAAACCTCTTCCTCTTGTAGATTGCCCAGTATGTCTTCATCAGCAGCGTGAAAACAGACTAATACAGTGAATTGGTACTGAGAGTGGGGCATTGCTGAAAAGATACCCGAGAACGTGGAAGCAACTTTGGAACTGGATAATAGGCAGAGGTTGGAACAGTTTGGAGGGCTCAGAAGAAGACAGAAAAATGTTGGAAAGTTTGGAACTTACTAGAGACTTGTTGAATGGCTTTGACAAAAATGCTGATAGTGATATGAACAGTAAGGTCCCAGCTGAGGTCGTCCCAGATGGAGATGAGGAACTTGTTGGGAACTGGAGCAAAGGTGACTCTTGTTACATTTTAGCAAAGAGACTGGTGGCATTTTGCCCCTGCCCTAGAGATTTGTGGAACTTTGAACTTGGGAGAGATGATTTAGGGTGTCTGGTGACAGAAATTTCTAAGTAGCAAAGTATTCAAGAGGTGACTTGGATGCTGTTAAAAGTATTCAGTTTTATAAGGGAAACAGAGCATAAAAGTTTGGAAAATTTGAAGCCTGAAAATGCGATAGAAAAGAAAATCCCTTTTTCTGAGAAGCAATTCAAACTGGCAGCAGATATTTACTTAAGTAACGAGGAGTCAAATGTTGATCCCCAAGACAACAGGGAAAATGTCTCTAGGGCATGTCAGAGGTCTTCATGTTAGCCCCTCCCTTCACAGGCCCAAGGCCTAGGAGGAAAAAGTGGTTTCATCGGCTGCATCCAGGTTCCCCATGCTGTGTGCAGCCTAGGGACTTGGTGCCCTGCGTCCCAGCTGCTCCAACTGTGGCTGAAAGGGGCCACTTCAAGTCCAATTAAACCTCTTCTTTTGTAAGTTGCTCAGTCTTGGGTATGTCTTTATTAGCAATGTGAAAATGGACTGATACAGTATGAGATAGGTACTCTTATCATTCCCACTTTACAGATGAGGAAACTGAGACTAGGGAGGACAAGGTCACATGAGCAGAAAGTGGCAGCACTGGAATGTGAACCTGAGAGCCTGGCCCCAGAGTCTGTGCTCTCGACCACTGGGCTATGGTAATTCATTTCCCTGATGTATTAATAGCTCTGCTGATCAAACTGTGTTTAGTATCACATAATTAGCTCCAGAAACCCCTATAGCAGTTCTCCTTGGTTAGAAACATTTTAACCTATCAGAAGCCTTCCTTCCCAAATAGTTGATAAGAATAGATAGCTATTATCCAAGGGTGAAGTCAGCTAGTAGTAATGTGACCATATAATTTATTGTGTCAGCGGGGCACTTTTAAGAAGAAAGTAAGGTGCTGTTAATAATTACACACCTGGGCAACTGACAAAAACTGGGACTGTCCTGATCAAATCTGGGCATATAATCAGCCTAGTAGCATACCTCAAAGTCAGAAGCTCAGCTTTCTTATAATGCAGACAGAAGGACAGGTGGCAATCCTGCCAATTCTCCTGATGGCCTTACAAAATAAGTGCAAATACTATATGAAGATAGAGTCACCTCACTGACCTTCTACTTTGTACATCACAATTCTATTTTAAATTTAGCTTGAGAGTCCTAGGTAGGCCTACCTCTTAGAAATTGTCAAAATGAGCCAGCACTCTGGCCACCCTTAAAAGAAGTCTTAGTCTCTCAGTTTACCAGTGGGAAAACATTTAACAATCTTTGCAGGGTGAGGGGCTCAGGAGGGGGTAGTTATTTGGTCAGTGAATGTCCCCTGCTATCTCCTTGTTAGTATCATCTACCACTCACTGGTCATAGCCTTGGATGATTATCTTAGTCCATTAACTATCATCATAGTCACTAGGTGATAAGGGATACTAAGTACCATTCCCCTCAACTCACTGGAGCTGCTGATGGCTTCGCAGAAAGCAGGATACCTAGTACTTGTTTAACCCTGATTGCTGATTATGCATGCATAAATGAATGAATAAACATGGGGAAAAGACTATTGCCTCCTTGACATTATTAGTAGCAGTAACACACTGAGCTGCTAACAGGATTATAGGTGGTGCTTTCATAGCCTTTCATGTTTAAGGAAATAGGTTATAAAATATTTGAACTGAAAGTCAAGTTGCCCATATAAAATAGAAAATCTACAATATTTATGCCTATGTGGCCTATGTGGCCTATTAGAATAAATTAATTTTGGTGGTAAGGCTGCTAAGACACCTATAATTTGATGATAATATTCCTTATGTTCAAAATGTTGTTCCAACTTTGATGGCTTGAAGAAGGAAAAGTCCAATTCCACAAACAGTGAGCGTGCCTAAAATGTTTCCACCTCTGGACTTTTGTTGGTTCCTCCCTGCTTAGAATGTCTTTGCTGACTTTCCTTGGGACTCAGGTTCAAGTTTAACTTCTTTTGTGGTTGTTTCCTCCATTACCACAATCCATGATAAATTCTCATCCACTGGAATCCTGTAACATATTTTGTCTGTTCCACAGTAAAAGACACAATATGTGCTGCTTGAATTGGTAGGCACATATTTATTTGTATAATAAGTTCTATAATGAGGTTTTCACAGAACAGGTTATGTGTGTGTGTGTGTTCCTGCTTACTGATAGATATTGAGAAGTGTTGCAGGATTAATTATTGCTTTCATTGTAACAAATCATCAGATAGCAATGGTGAGGGAGAAAAATTTTAGCTTACACCTACCTCTAACTATTAGAAGCTTTGTGTATCTACCTAGAAGAACTTAGTAATTGCAAATGCCTAAATGGGCTCAGATAAGTAACAAGACTATTACTAAAAGACACAGGGACTTAGTGTTATAATTTTTATTAATAATGCTATGTGATTGCTCGGTTTATATGTGAGTGCTAGATTTATATAGTTTATTTCTATTAATGGCTGACAGAACATATGCATAAATTATATATATTTACAGCATTTATTATATAAATAAATGCAATCTTTTATAGTAATTCAAGGCAGCATATGTGTTGTTAATCAGAACGACGTGGATAATAGGAAATATAGGAGTGCAGATAAGTGATAGATTACTATGAAGTTTAAAGTTCTTTTCTGCTACTAAAGCAACCTCTAAGGATATAAGAATACCCACTTAATATGAGGGTGAATAATTAATATGAGCTAATAATTTTATACTAATTATAGTGCTAAATATAGCCCTCGGGCTCTAAAAGGATTAAAGGATCTCTATGTGAGTCCAATATACACCAGTACTCAAGTGAAATAATCTGTTTGTTTGTTTGGTTTTTTTTCCCCTTGGCTCTCCAGTTATGCTAGGTAAGAAAGAATAAAAGGATAAACTGAGGCACAAGGATGTGTGTTACTTTCAAAAGGGAAACAGAGAGAGGGTTCCTGATTCCCAGGGCAGTGGTGTTTTTTTTTTTTTTTTTTTTTTTGAGGATGTTGCATAATGCATTTAAATATTTTAATGGGCAAAGTTCACAGAGGACATTGGCAGGAGGATGTACCCCCATGTTTCCCCCTTGGGCCCCTCGATGCTAACTGTCCCTAAGGGGTGATAGTTGAATTTAAAATAGTATAATGATATTGTGTGTTATTAGTTTTTCTTGTAACAACTCCACAATACTTTTCACATACAGATACTCAATAAATATTTTCTGGTGCTGCTTATGAAGAATTAATATTCAAAAGAAAAGTGATTTGGTGAGGCATGAATGAAAACCATGCTCTTCTTCTCTAATAACTTCTTTTCTGAATGGTGCTGCAGGGGACAGTGAGAAATTTTTCAGCCTAGGCACAGAGACAGTCTCTTTTGTGTTGGTAAATACACAATATAGTGTACAGGTGTGCTGTTCCAACAAATTAATACAAATGAATAATACATCCAAGGTATTACATTGTCCATGGTAAACCAGGAGGCAAGAACATGTATCTTTTACAAATATTATGCCCATATAGAAATTCTAGAAATTCTTTCGCTAATTTTACATATCATTCTTCACAGTGACAAGTTGAGATTTTAAGCATATTGTTCTTAACTATGTGATCATGATGAATAGAAACAAATTACACATATTACTCTATGTAGCAGGCAGTATTGACCTATTCTAAAATGCATTATTGGACCAATTTTAAAACAGAAGAATCAAAGTAATTGGTGGTGGTGGGATTGTTCTCCCATCAATATTTACGTGTATTTTGAATTCTCTATATGCAGTTAAGCAAACCTAACTGAAGTCACATACACATGATTGTTGATGCAACAAAAATAGAAAAAATATTCTGAAGGAAAAATTTTAAAGCTACATCTCTTTACTATTTTATTCAAATAAAAATTAAAAGTCCTTGCTGACATTAGTATAAAATAATTTTTTATCTTTGAAAATAATTTGTAAAGTAGGCTATTTCTCACCTTGAGAAAATTTTAGAAAAATTTCCAAAGTGAGTTTTGAATAAGAATAACAAATATGTAAGACCAATTTTAGACAGCCAGAACTTTAAGAATGTAAAAGAAGAATGTAAGAATGCAAAATTTAAGGATGTAGAATTTTGAATGATAATTTTGTTAATCTCTACAAGAATCACTACTTTAATTCCAGCTTTTATATAAAATATGCTAAATAAATACATATTTATTGTTTCTACTGCTTTTTCATTTAGCATATCCTGACATATTATGGTATCTATACCTTAATTTCCTTATAATGTTCAAGTTACTTTTGCTAAAAGTGTCACAAAGAGCAAGCAAATGATTTCTTTTCATTCAGCTGAAACCAACCAAAGGGAAAGTCAAGACACATCTACTTGCATATGTCCAGTCCTTAATGCCCTTGCATACAAAACAGCCATGAGGCAGATTGAGAAATGAAATCAAGCTTCACATGAATTGCAGAGAAAATTCTCCTTTAATGAAAATTCACTGATTACTGTCATGGATGCCTTGCTTTTCAATTGCCCCTTGTATTGCTTTCATGGTTGAGAGATACTCATTTTTCTTAAGCAAATTTGGGGGTCTACTAAGCACATAGCAACATAATTGACTAATATAAGTCTATTTGTTGATCTCTTAAAGCTCAGTGCACACTGATGGAAGTAATCCAAACTATTTTTCTCCACCCTTCACTTAACAAGCATAATAATAAATGAATATTTAAAGTAGCAGCAAATATATTAACGGGAAACAAATAGCTTTTATTTGTAACAAGTGCACACAGGTTAATTAACAAGAAGGAGGTTTTGTGTTGAAACAAGGCTCCCGGATGCTGTTCGGGCAGGTGCCGTTAAGGGCCAATTGAGCTCTATAGGATAATTATGAAGTACCAGTGTGTTCTTCCGTTTGTTAACAAAGTGCTGCCCACAATTTGCCTAAACCTATAAACCATCATCTGTGATCCTTGGTAGCAATTAAATGACAAACATCTCCTCATCAGAGACTTGGGGAAACAAAAAGAGACATGATTGCATTTAAGTAGCCAGATGGATTTTTTTGAACACTAATTTTGAAGACCTCTTTTCAATAACAGAATATTAGATGAAAACATATTTAGTACTATGTGAAAGAGGAAACTCCATGGTATTCTTTATGGGAAATTAAAGTGGGCATATTGAATAATTGAAGCAGTGCATATTTGAATAGCTTTGGTTTTAAAATCCTGGAGTGTTCAGCAAACTTAATAGAAGATGGAAACCTAACTCATCTCCTCAAAGCACCATTGAAACACTTTGCTCTTACTATTCTAGCTGCTCACTTACATTTGAGGAGGGGCTATGAAGAACATAGTAAAACTTCTCAGGCAGCATGATGGTGAAAGTCTAACCAATCTCATGCACTTTCTCTAGGATATGAGTTACTAATTAGTTCTTTTTTATAAAAAAAATAGCTTATTACTGAAATCCTCTATCAGCACAAAAAAAGTAATTTTAGACCTAAAGATCGCCTTCTATCACAAACTAACTGATCTAGAAGTTTTAAGGATGTAACATTTAAAATGCTTCTGGAAGCGTAGCAATAGTTCCAGGAGCTATAAACCTTATAAAGGCTCTGCTGAGTTAGTTAAATTAATTGTCTGATTGGAAGAATCTCCAAAACTTGCAGTAGCTCTTGTTTTTATAGTTAAGGATCTTCCAGGCATTTAGTTGCTTACATTAAACAATGTTGTCTAACTGGTTTGCATAATTGATAGAGCTAAATGGCTATTCTATAACATTAAAAAATACAATTATAAATGTATGAGTTTCCCTCAGTCAGAAGGTGATGATTTTTTTTCCAATGCCAAAATAACAGTATTTACAAATGTTTTCATGAACCATGAGAAGCTACTGCTCAGTGTGTTTTAATGTAGTAGTAGGTCAACAGCTCTCTTGAAAGAACAAAACCAACCTAGGGCCAAACAGGCAGACAGGCCTAATTAAGCACTCCAGAGTAAGAAAACCTCTCAGAGAACTACAACTAACTCGACCCCTGCTTTGTACTTCACCAGGTTTCTCTATACCTTTGCCACTTTCCTCTGGATTTATTTTTTATGAATTATTTAAACATGGCCATTTCACATCCACAATTAATTTTCAAAGAAAAGGCAACAAGAGAAAATAATCACAAGTTAAAACAGTTTGAGAACGACTCTAGTTTTGGCAGAACGTAAAAGGCCTGAGTCTCTGTTTCAGAGCCTGCCTTTGGAGGTGGCCTCCCAAATCCTCGTTTGTTTAAGTCCCTAAGATTCAGTCTACCTGACAGCCCAAACCCCTATTTCCACCAGGGAGGAAAAGCAAATTCAAGAGAGTCTCTTTTCTAGGTTACGTGCCTGTGTTTCTTTTATTTAAATGAATGGGAATTAATGATTATAATTTGAATAGTGGAAAAAAATAGCCTACAAAGAATGATAAATTTTTCATTATCATTAAGGAGTAACAATCCATTGAAAAATGGAAGTATTTGCGCAGCTAACCAATTGCAAAAATGAAAGTGCTTGACAATTGTTTTATTCTAGTTATCCTTTCCCATCAGCACATGATACTCTGTCCTGTTATAGCAGGGAATGGCCTCCAAAAATGATGGTATCTTGATACCTTATTCTCCATTACAGAACCATTCAATTGGAATAGAAATCAAGGGATCATTAAATTCATCCTTCTGCATTCAGGTATGGCTACACTCTGCTGGAACTCATCATATTAAAATATAATATAAATATGACATGATATGATATAATATGAAATAATTTCATCTAAAAACTTGTCCAGTGTAGGAGCTGAGGCTCAGTCATTTGCTATTACCAGAATACCCCTAACATGGTATATCCCTAAAATGTCTGTACAGAAAGAAATTAAATCTCTAAACATGCAAAATATATATTTCTTTTGGAGAAAAGAAAAACCTTTGAGAAAAAAACAGACTTTAAAATTCACTTGCCCATTTTTTTCTGGCCATTTTGATGTTTCATAATACCCGCTCTGGCGGTGTTCTTTACAGCTAAAAAAAAAGCATCAGTTTCCATTTTATTGTTATAGGCCAGTGAAGAAATTATCTTGAAAATAAATTTTTCTAAAATGTTAATAGACTCAATAGTGCCGTTTGTATTTAAAATTGAAAAAAGTCATTAATTTATTATATGGCTTAAAACCAAATTGCTAAAATACATGACTAGAAATAGTTCTATTTGATATAACATTAAAACTATTTAAGATTATAAGTGGCATTTATTAAAGAGCCAACATTTGCCAGGTCCTCAATAAAAGATTATTACTAAAACTCAACACTATTACAAAGTAAGTTTTGTCATTCCCAACTGACAAGTGTGGAAGCTAAAGCTCAGGGAGGCTAGGTAACTGTCCCAAGGTCACGCAGCAAGGAAGGAGAGTAGAGGGGCCAGCGTCCTGAGGCTACACCACATGCTGGTTGTCTGACTCGAGGTTGGACCACTGAAACCAATTTCTTCTCTGTGACTAAGTAAGCCCTGAATTAGGGATTGGACTTTTCTTCTCTAATTTAGAGGCCCATATCCACAAGTAGTTAATGACCATGGCCAAGTTAACTGGAATGGGAAGGGTAGCACCAGTCCCAAAGTGGCTCACACCATTTCACCTATAATACAGTAGCATGCCATGCACACTATGTCAGGGTATCACAAACACCAACATGACATGCACAAGATCCCAGGATACATGTGTCTCCCATGAAGAGAGCTCAACAGGACCCTCTCTCTTCATTGCTTCGGGAATGACTTGCAACCACGGCAAGAAAGGTGATGTTCTGTTCCTACCATCTGCCAACATGGAGCCAGCACATGAGGCAGTGCGGTTCCTTCTCCAACTTTTTCCTCCTGGTGACAAATCTTTAGTCAATCCCCTGCTCAATAGTATTTACACGAGATGAGGTAACAGGAGAGGAGAAAAAAATCCAAATAGGCACAATTTAAAGTTTTTCTGTTTGCTAGTAAAGCATCTCTGATGAAAGTGATGTAGCCAAAACTTGGATTTTAAAACCAATTGCTTATTTAAAAATTTCATGGAATACTAGTCATAACATAAATGTCATTATTTTATGCACTGACAATTGGGGCAGAAATCTGATATGTTAGCAGAACCTATTTTAAAGTGATTGCTAGAATATCTACAATTCTAAATGACATTTCAAGAAGACCAGAGGCTTCTGGGTTTTGGATTAAAGGGGAAGGAAAATTCCATGGACTGCCACACTCACAAGAAGCCAGAGCTGCAGCAAGGACAGTGTATTCCCTTTTCTTCAACTTTTAAAATCTCTGTTGTTTTCTGAGCCTAGGGGTGAATAGAAGAAGATCAAGAGGCAGTGATGTGTCATTATGATCTCCATTTCATACACAAAGAACGGAGCTTCACAGTGGTTAAGTAACTTGGCTGAACTTACACCAGCATGAAGATTCAAATTCCAGTCCAAAACTTATGGAAATATCTATTAGAGAAGCCTGTATTAGTTCTCTACCAGATATATTTTCCTAGGTAAGCCACCTTTTTTCTTACCTCTCTCTCTCTTTCTTCAGTGTCCTCTGAGAGCTCCTAACTAAATGTTTTATACACAGTGCATGCTTTGGTTGAGTGAAATAATGTTTTTTTGAGAAAATCAAAACCATAGTTATGTGTCGCTTAATGACAGCGATATGTTATGGGAAATGCATTGTTAGGTGATTTCATTGTTCTCATATCATACAGTGGACTTAAACAAACCTAGATGTTATAGCCTACTACACCCCAAGCTATAGGGTATAGCCTATTGCTCCTGGGCTACAAACCTATACAGCATGTTACTATGCTCAATACCGTATGTGTGAATCTAAACATATCTAAACACAGAAAAGGTAATGCATTGCACTATAACATTATGACAACTCATATTCCTGTCACTAAGTGATAGGAATTTTCCTGCTCTATTGTAATCTTATGGTACCACTATCAGATAGGTAGTCCTTCATTGACCAAAACGTCATTATGTGGTCCATGACTGTACCTGATTATGAGTATTTCCTCCTTGCTGACCCTTATAATAAAAATATACCTTAAAAAATAATGCTAATATGTGAATTTATACTGTGAAAATTATATTCCATACAAGATAGCTGTCAAACATTATGAAATAAAATACTACAGAACTTAGAACCAGAGGCTACTAACCTAATTAGTATACTAAGCAGGAAATATAAATGCTTATGCTATATTGTGAAAAAATAATTGAAAATAATGGCTAGCCACATTTTAGAATTCTACAAATGATAAAATTATTTTATCTGATAAATGTTAAGGTGACAGGAATATTGTTAAGCAAATGAATTAAAAAGATGAATTTTAGGGAATTCTATAATTTCAATATTACCTGCTAGAATTGAGCATAAAGCTTTGAGTATAGTTTAAATTAGCTACTTTAGGGTTGACTAGGAAAGGCAAAGTTTGCCTTATACTGCACAGTAGTTTGTTCCAAGTATGTTCTTCTTGTAGCTTAATAAAGACAGCAAGTTTAGGAGTCCTAGGGAGAGGTTAAGAGGCGCAAATAAATAAAAGGGCAGACCAACTACAACTTGCAGTGGTCTTTAAATGTGGCCCAATTTTGAGTGTTAGAAACAATAGGAAACAAACAAAAAAGCCACAGAGACCCCAGAATGAGAATGTTGTATAAAGACAGAAACCACATCTTTTGGTCATATGTGCCTCAAACTTGTGCAGCATCTGACCTAAAGCAGTCATTTAGTGAGGAAACAGTCAATAAATCAAAGAACTAGACAGGGAGGCTGAGCAGCATAGAACCTTCTAATAAACCTAAGCACATCACAGTCTTGCTTAAAACCTTCACGGTTTCCCATCACCAAGTAACAGAATTCAAATTCTATAGTTGGGCAAACAGTTTCTGACATAGCGCCTACCTCCTCTGCCGTTGCATCCCTGACCACTGCCCCAGTGCTCCAGCAATAGTGGGTCACTGGGAGATCCCTCCATAAACTGCCCACCTGCTACCCCCCAGTGTTTTCAATCTCCCCACCAACTTCTGCCTGCATAATATACTTCTGTTCCTTTGCCAAGACTCCTCCTATTTTTCCCCCTCCGTTTTTCTACCTTTGTTACACTTATGAAACATACATACTCTCCTAGAATTAGCTATGTATGTTTTCGCCTGGGAGCTGAGTCTGACTTATCTTTGAATGCCCAGAAATTCACAGGGTCTGGTTGCAAATGGGGCACAATAAAAGATTTTTGAATAAAAGAATAAAGTGCTGGAAAGAAAAGAGAAAATGTGAGACTCAAACAGGAAAGGAACTGATGTACAGCTGGATATGCAAAGAGGGTACTCTGAAAAGACATGATTTCCCAATTCTGTCTTCAGTGTTTCAAGTTGAGTCTGCATAAGACTAAAACAACTTGCTTTTTAAATAAAAAATTAGTTACCTGTTATTTGGCAAAGGAACAGGTACTCATTATGAGCCAAAAGATGTGGCAGTGTCATCCTGTTTTTACTGATTATTTTCTTTTACTTTTTGAAAATGTTAGACTTGTAGAAAAGTTGCAAGAATAATACAAATAATTCTCATATCCTAATATTAACATTTATCATGTATTTTTATAAATAATGTAAGAATTGTAGGGATGAAAACTCCTTCCCTTTAAATACTTCAGTTTGCAATTCTTAAAAACAGAAAATGCTCTTATCTAACTACAATACAATTAATAAAGTCAGGAGACTAACACTGAGACAATACAATTACCTAAACAACCAACTTATATTCAGATTTTGCTAATTGACTTGATGTCTTTTATAAGAAAAAAAACACAAAGTCACACTTAACCATCGGGTCTCTTTAGTCTTTTAAAATCTAGAACAGTATTTACTATTTCTTTGTGGCTCATGACAGGGACATTTTATAAGCCAATTATAAGGTTGGTCTAATGTTTCTTCATGATGTTAGATTTAGGATTTGGGCTTTTGGTAGGAATAACACAAAAGCAATACTTAATTATCAGTGCTTTCTCTCAGGAAGCACAAACTAGATTTGTGCATTTGTTGGTGATGTTAACTTTGAGCACTTGGTTAAAGGGAGATTTACCACGATCCTCTACTTTCAAGTCTTTAAAAGTGGAGAGAAACTATGATATTATATCAATAATTCTTCTCAAAATTTATCCACTGGTTGTAGTCCATTAATGATACTTTCCTGAGTCAATTATTATTATTAGGGCTGCCAAATGGTGGTTTTTCTAATTTCATAATTTCTTTAACATTTATTACAAATGTTGCCTTCCTATTGTTAGAAAACTTCCTTCTCATTCATATGTTTGTTTATATGTTTATATTAACATGAACTCATGGAGTTTTACCCTATCCAGTGGGTACAAACTTTTACTGTCATTATTTATTTTGATTCTAAATGGTCCCAGACTTGTCTGGTGGGGGCCCCTCAAGCTGGCTCCTAAATTTCATTTATTTCATTTTATTTTGAGACAGAGTCTCACTGTGTCACCCAGGCTGGAGTGCAGTGGCAAGATCTCGGCTCACTGCAGTCTCTGCCTCCTGGGTTCAAGCAATTCTCCTGTCTCAGCCTCCCAAGTAGCTGGGATTACAGGCGCCTGCCACCATGCCCAGATAATTTTTGTATTTTTAGTAGAGACGGGGTTTCACTGCATTGGCCAGGCTGGTCTCAAACTCCTGTCTTCAGGTGATCCACCTGCCTTGGCCTCCCAAAGTGCTGGGATTCAGGTGTGAACCACCATGCCTGGACAAATTTCACTGATATTTAATCAATTTTCAAGTGGTTTTCTTTGCATCTTATATTCACATCCCTACCAACCTCACACTTTGATCTTGTTGTTCTTTTAGTTTTGTAAACACTGCAAAGCAGCCATGTATACCCTTCAATGAAGAAGGATAAGTAATCACAAATTAGGATACTCTTAAAAAACTTGTCTTTGAAGACTTTATTCTTCATAATCAAATTTTACATAAAGCCAATCCCAATATCAATTTAGGGTGATAATGTAGGACAGTAACAGCAGCTGAATTTTGTGTTTTAAAGCAAACCTGCATTTTGATTTTTTTCCGATTATTTCATTCTCGATCACTTTATTTGCAGATTCAGAAAAGCCTGAATTTGCAAAAAGTTTGTTTCGATCATCATAGGCAAGGTGAAATAGAAAGTCGAAGAAATCATCTCGGTCATTACGGTAAAGTACCACTTCTTTCTGTGGGTAAAAGTATTCTTGGTTTTCTGTTTGTTTTCAGGGCTGAGAGTGTATGTGTGGGTGCAGAGGGTGGGCAGTGTGGGCGTCAGATGGAATAGGGGAAGAGGGAGAAGGTAGTGTGGGAGAGGGCCACCTACCCTACCCAAGAAACTTAGCAGGCTACAATGATAAAGTGTAAAGAACAATTACTCAATTAAGATTACTCTGTCTCTGTAAATCTACTTGCCTCTTTAGACACATTTAAAATATTATAGGATTTTAAGGTTTCCAGGGCTAATTTTAAGACACAAACCCCTAAGCAATGCACATGAAAAAAACAATACCTTTCCTTTGGGACTACCTTTTCAAACTCCAGTGTTTCAAATACAAATTACAGCAGATACATTTATGAAATGAGTGGCCATGGATCCTCTAGAAGTCCTTCAGCTAGGATGCTCAGCTTGGTGGCAAAGGTATGTTAGCATCCAGCCAGGACTCCAAAAGCCGTGATCCCATAATTGATCCGACTGAGACTGTGGAGGAATTTAAGCATAACATAATCCCTCAAATCATCTTTTGGCCCCAATTGCATGTTAACAGTTGCACAGAAATTAGGCTACACGTGTATTTATTATTTTGCAGCTTTGCAGACACAACAGTATATTCCCCCATCTGATTTATTTGATTGACAGAGGCCTTGTTTCGGTTGCTGGAGCTCCATTTCTCTGGCTCTAAGAAATTCAGAAAGTGGCAACCAGGGAAAAGACAAGCAACCAAATCTCCTGCTTTCACAACTGCAGTGCTGTCTGAGCTTGTGTCTGGACTATCATATACCATTACAGTTGATCAAGCTTAAAAAGCAAACTCAGATTTTCAAGCAAAGCAGTCACTGGAGTACATTTATGGATCGTGTTCTCATTCCAATACAGTCCCCAGGGGAGAAAGTGAACAGCACCAGGAATGGATCTGCTGTTTCCCTTCAATATAAGTTTTGCATAATACAGAAATGCTAGTCTGTAAACAATATGAACACCTGTCATACACATGACAACCAGAAGGTGGCACAGTCTTAACATTGACCAAGTTCTGTCAGCTCTACTGTTGAATCCAAGCAGATTTGTGATAACTGCTGATTGCACTATATACATTCATTTATGCATTTGTGTCTGTCCTCAACTACATATAAACAAACCTCTTCCTATGCCTGAAAACTGAGAACTCTTTGCTTGTTTCCATTTTCTTTTTATCCCCTCTCCCCTCCCCACCTATACAATTAATATTGTTTTGGTTTAAGCTTCAGAGGACTTGAATATTGCTCTGTATTTATCTTCCTGTTAGAAGCACTTGGTTCATGAAACCTAAATGGAGCCTCATGATTTGCATCTTTCTTATGTCTTATTTGTAACCGATTGCCATCATGAGAAGATCTTAATTTTATATTCATTCATTAGTAGAGTTTCATTCAAATAGTAATTAACTCTTTGATCAAAACTAACAAAATGAATTACTAGTATTGAGTGGTGTGCATTCATATAATTCAAAAGGAAATTATAAATTTCTGATGCGTTAAACATTAGATTTATATTGCAGGTTCCATTATAAAGAAAAGGCCATGAATTCACTAGTATTTTTCTTTCTTTAAGAGAAAAGAGAGCATGCCTTTGTATTTTATGAAACTGGATTTATTAAGATTCATGAGAGGCCTTAATGGTAAAAATGAACAGTGTGTAAAAAAGTTGGCAACATTTCATCACAACCTGTGAGTGCTGGCAATTGGCATCATTTTTATACCCAAAACGTACACTTCTCATGGCCACCAAGTAAACTCTTTAAAATTAGTTACCCTTCAATTGTGAATAAAACCAATTTCCCTGATGTGAATTCTTGTATTTATTATTTCTTGTTCATTTAGGTGGAAGGTCTAGATTGAAAATGGACCTCCTGTTTTCCAATATTTGGGACAGCTCCCTTCCACATTATCCCTCCATGCTTCCATGCTCACACCTCTCCACAAATGGGGGAGTTCCCTGTAAATTGTTCCTTTCACTTGGCCTTCTATGCATTCTCTCCTTCTGCCTCTGCCATCTGGCAGCCTTCCTGCCCCCACATGATGTCCTCTGTCCTTAGTCCAATATGCCTGTCAGAATGCTTATTGGGAGGGCAACCCTCTCCAACTGGGAAGCATACTTAGCCCCTACGTATAGGCGGCATCTAACATTGGTTGAACTAAACCATCACTTAGTCATGGGGAGTTCAAATAGCAACACAGAGAAAAGTCTATATTTACTTTTTAATAAGCATAAATCCTGAAGCGATGACTCATTCCTATGAGCACCCTTCCCTACTAAGTCCCCCTTAAAAAAAAAGGCACCACTTAAAAACCAGATTCTAGATATTTCTCTTTACAGAATATGAAGAAAGTAGGCTTAAGTGAAGCCAAGTGGGTAATATATACAAATATACATCTTTTTCCTTGTTGGACATTTTTGAAGGCTATTTTACAGGTATAAATAGGTCACACCTCAGAGAACCTAAACGTTTTATCTTATATGCCCTAACCTCAACCTTCTAGGCTTTAGAATCAATAATGGCATTTTTTTGTCCCCTCCGGTTCCATTTCTACTTAAGCCATAAACCACAGAAATGGAAGCTTAACCTCATACTGGCTGTGTGACATTTTGACTCTCCCCTCAGGGTCCTGAAATATCCCAGCATATGCCCATTCTGGCATAAATCAGAGAACGGCAAGCTCAGGGGACACCATATGGCCAAACGCCTGCATGTTACATTGGGGCATGCTGAGGCTTCAGGTACGCCCAGCTAGGCTTAGATCTGGTGTTGGTCTCATGGGCCAGAATTGAATTCTAAGAAGTCCTCTGGGGAGGACAGTCCAGCCTATGGAGGGCTGAGAATAGCTACTTCAACCTGGAAATGTTTCAAGAATCTACGCTAATTGAGATTGAATTGTCATCCTCTCATGTGAATCATCAACTACAGTCCTCTTCTGCTCAAGGATAAGTGGTGAAGTGAAGATTTACTTCTATAGGGGCCAAGTGGAGACAGTGCTCCACTCCTCCCTGACATAGCCTGGGTGCTTTAGGAACCAGGAGGTTTTCCTCCTCTCCAACTGAATAACACCATAGTAGGTCTAACAGATAAACGATAAAGCCTCAGGATTCTCATGCCAGTATACAGTAGGTGCTAAATAATGTTAAAGCGAACAAATAAGCTCTCAGGTTCCATGAAATTAAACGTAGGTGGTAGAAATAAATCTTGAAACTTTCCTTCTGCTCCCTCTTCTCTCTTCCCTGTGTCTTATAGATTCTGATTTTCTATTTAGCTCCAGAGTCTACATCAGAAGTTGTAGATTTCTTTTTGTGGAGATGTTGTTGAGGGTGTGATAAAGAAGGCTGGCTTGCAACAAAAGTCAGGAGAGCCCTTATGCTGTTTCCTTAATAAAGTATAATAATTCAAATCAATTAAATTTAAACTTCTTAGTAGTATAATATAATCAATTATGTACGTGAAAAATGAGGAAGACAAAGTAGATACAGAAAGGAGAATTTGGGGCCAGGTGCGGCAGCTCACACCTGTAATCCCAGCACTTTGGGAGGCCAAGGTGGCAGGATCACTTGAGGTCAGGAGTTCAAGACCAGCCTGGCCAACATGGTGAAATCCCATCGCTTCTAAAAAATACAAAAGTTAGCTGAGTGTGGTGGCATGTGCCTGTAATCCCAGCTATTCAGGAGGCTGAGGCAGGAGAATCGCTTGAACCCTGAAGCCAGAGGTTGCAGTGAACTGAGATCGCACCACTGCACTCCCACCTGGGTGACAGAGTGAGACTGTCTCATAAAAAAAGGAGAATTTGGAAAGGAATGGAAAAATAGAAAAAAATGTGAGGATGAGAAAGTGGGAAAGAGGTAGAGAGTAGGCTGTGATAATGTGTACCAAAGAAAAACAAACACGCAATTAGTTAGGCCAGTGATGTTTTTGAAGGATTGCTTTCCTCACTGTGCTTGAGTGCCCTCATTTGTAAATGTGTACTTTCTTCTGAAAACTGTTGTGGAGATAATATGAGTTTGGTGGTGAAAATACCTGGTATTGGCACATGGCATATGGCAAGCCCTCACAAAACTTAGCCATTATTTTTCTTTCCTTATGGGTAAATCAATATGATAAGGATGGCACATCTTTACAATTTAATTTTTAGATTTAAGGAAATTACAACAAAGATCCCAGTGGGTTTGGAGTGGAGGGAGATAATACAAGTATTAAATTCATTCAAAAGAATAAAACAAATAATTAAGAACCCTTCAAAAAATAAAAAGGATTCAGGTGTTTGTTTTTTGAGACAAAATGTCTCGCTCTGTCACTCAGTCTGGAATGCAGTGGCGGGATCTCCGCTCACTGCAAGCTCTGCCTCCCGGGTTCAAGTGATTCTCCTGCCTCAGCCTCCTGAGTAGCTGGGATTACAGGTGTGCACCACCATGCCCAGCTAATTTTTGTATTTTTAGTAGAGATGGGGTTGCACCATGTTGGCCAGGCTGGTCTTCAGGGGACTTCTTTTACTTGTTATAAAACAGACTAATAAAACTGCAGCAGTGGAGGAAGAATTACAGAAAAATCAGCAAATTGAAGATATAGTCTTTCAGCAGACCTAGGATAACTTCTTTTCTAATAAGAAAGTATCACATACCAAATGATGTTTAAAAACAATTGTTTGGAAAGACCTCAGTGTCCTTTTATGTCACTCACTATTATGTGAAGCATTTTATGAAGTCTCATTTCTTCCCCACTGTCAGGTAGTCGTATCTTTTGGTTTGCAGGTGAGGAGATGGAACTTCACTCGTGTGATACTCCCTCTACTGTTTGAGGTCCCTCCTTATTTTACTCTCAGTTAGCCTTTCCTTTTACAGATGAAATCATTTTAGTTAATACTCAACTGGCACTATGAGCCACAATAAGTATAAAATAAATTGGTGACTTAAATGTAAAACCTGAAACCAAAACAAGCTAAGAAAATACAGTGACTATTTAATTGATCTCAAGTATGTAAAGGACTTTTAAGCACAAAAGGAAGGAAAAGGAAAATAGATATTTTAAGTGAAAAAAATTAACTCTTGTATGTAAAAGAGTCATAAAAAATAAAAAGACCGTTGGCAAATTGGGAGAAATACTTGCAGTGAATGTAACAGACACAGAACTACCATCCTAAATGAATAAGAAATATTTGAGGCTAGTTAGAAAATCCTCAATGTGCCAATAGAAAAGTAGGCAACAACTATTAACAATTAAGAAACAAAATAGTTAATATAATGGACAATAAAGATATAAAAATTACTCAGTAGTAATCAAATAAAGTTAAAATGATTTTTTCAATTACTTGTTATTAAAGATTTTTCAATTTCATAATGAACGTGGGACAGCCCTGTGTTCTAATGTTCAGCAGATAAGAATGCAACATAAATAGACTTTCTTTTCTGTTATTGTTATTTGTTTTGAGATGGAGTCTTGCTCTGTCTCCCAGGCTGGAGTGCAGTGGTGTGATCTCGGCTCACTGCAACCTCTGCCTCCTAGGTTCAAGTGATTCTTTTGCCTCAGCCTCCTGAGTAGCTGAGACTACAGGTGTGCACCATCACGCCTGGCTAATTTTTTTTTTTTGTATTTGTAGTAGAGACGGGGTTTCACCACGTTGGCCTGACTGGTCTTGAACTCATGACCTCAGATGATCCTCCTGCCTTGGCCTCCCAAAGTGCTGGGATTACAGGTGTGAGCCACCACCCCAGGCCAGAAATGGACTTTCTAAAAGCTGTTTGGCAATACATGTTGTCAGATGTATTTTTAATATTCTTAATTTTTGAGCCAGTAATTTCACTTTGAGAAACAAACTCCAGAGAATTAATTACATTTTGGGGCAAAGACTTTTTTTTATAAAATGAAAAATAAGCTAGATATAATTTCAATGTTTATACATGGAATAAATACATTAATATGTGGAATATTATATTTGAACTAAAAATAATGTTTTCAAATAATTTTGAAAAAATGATAATAAGATAAGGTTAATAGAAGAGTGTGCAACATGATTTCTGTTATGAAACATATAATCACAAAGAAAAGCTAGAGAGAGGACTGGATCATTTTGATTTTCTGTTACTTTTTTTTGAAAATTCTATAAGAAATTTATTTTACTTTCATAATTTAAAAAGGCGTTGATTTTTTTGTTGTGGTCTTACTTTTTCTAACTCCACACACTTAAGACACAAGAAACATGCAGAGATAAAAAAATAAAAGTGAATAAGATTGAATATTAGGATGATGAGAAAATTACTGGAGATCATTTGCATGAATAGGGCAGAAATACATTTAATTATGAAGCATGGGAGGGAAAAGAGAAGAGTTAGGAACAAAAGAGAAGAAGATACAGAGGCAGACTGAGACACTGAAGGCTTTAATGTAAGTAATTTTCCAGAGTCATACCCCAAAATTTACTGAGACCCTGGACTTCACAAGGCATCTGCATTAAAAAGTGACTAGGTTACCACTTTGCTCTCTTGTTATTTAAATCCTTACAGTTAAGCTGAACTCTGAGTAGATTTTTCAGAGTAGCAGAGAGGGTGCAAAGTATGCTCTGGTTTGAAGCAGCCATACCAAAGCTACCTCACCCTGGAGGCGAGAAGAAGCTAGTTCAGGGCTTCCCTGGCCAGAGGGTCCAGCTATGTCAACATTCATTTTCATCTTTGGTCTGAAAATCAGAAGACTGCTCCATCCTGAAACCACTCACCTGAAAATTGTTCCCAAGAGGCCATCATGTTTAGGTGCTATTCTGATGGCTTATGAGCTGTACATGCCATTTGTGGCAAACTGTGGTAAACTAATGAGAACTGGACCCATGGTGTCCATTTCAAAGATGGCGGCCATTACTAAGCTCCAGCAGCTGCTTCCATGTTGAAAGGTGAACTCAGCGTTGCCTAATCTCCTAATTGCTGTTCTGTTTGTTTGTTAAATATTGAGCTAGGATTCTGGATTTCGAAAAATGATAAGTCTGTCAATTCTTAAATTTGGCAATTATTTGAAAATATTAAAGCCCTGTGCTGGGCAATTTTTCGTGGGTTGAACAGAATATGCCTGCTGGTCCCAAAGACTGCAATTTGAGACTTCTGTTCTATAATGTTGAGTGTGACTTAACGGGCTCTATTCTAAAAATAATGCATGAGACTCTGAACAACCAGAGGTGGAAAGATGGAAAAAACACATTTTCTGCCCTTAGGGAGTTTCATGTCTTGTGTAGGAGAAAGACCTTTAAGAGGGCAGGTCACAGTACAGCAGTGTGGTATTATTATAGAAAACAGAACAAAGTACTGTCTAATGTAAGGAGGTAGTTTTGTCCCAGGGAATAAAGAGAGGCTTAATGAGGGAGGTGTCACTAGAGCTGGTGTGTTCCGTGATTCCCAAACATAAAGGACCCTACAAAGTTTGGTTTGCTTCCTGAGGGAAAGAGGTCATTTGAACTGAAGCCAAAAGCCAACTGTTTTCTGATCAATGGCAGTTTTCTTAGGGGAGAAAAATAGTTCAATCCTCTAAGTAAAAACAGGAATTAAGGAATAATAGACCAAAAAAAAAAAAAAGAAAAAAGAAATGGACAGTGTTGATATGACGGATAATAATAATAATAGAAAATATAAAAGAAAAAGAAGCTCCAGGACGCTGAACATGTGCATCAGAAGAAATTTAGAAAATGACAAGTGAGCTTATAATGACTTTTAGAAATGCCTTAAATCGCTGGGATTATTTGACATTTGGTTCCTTGCAGAGGAAAGGTGAGCATTGTGGTTAATGAAGGGTGACTCAGAGTCAACTTCCTACTTTTTCTAGCAAGGAGGAACTGATGATCAAAAATACATGTCTGTATAAATATATGTATAAATTATATATAAAATACATGTCTGTATAAATATACACACACACATATATACACACACACACATATACACACACACACACATATACATGTAAAATACCTATATAGCTTTCTCGCAGGATATAGACTGTATACAATTAGTGGTTCATTGCAAACTCTAAATGCATAGTAAGCATAATTATAATGCTATCATGTTTCCCATATTGAGTTATTTGGGGGATAAACTTTTTACTTAATGTCTTACTTATGAAACCCCAATAAAATATCTGTGGCATGTATCCTTTTGATCACTCTACAAGTCTTCCAGAAGGTATATTATCCCTGACTGGATCAGCCTGTGTGCTACACACTCAGCAGAGAGAAAAGAAGAGTTATGAATAAAAGTGGTTACATTATTCTTGCACACAATTAGCTCATAATTATCCTTCAAAGCAAATATGATTACCCTTTTCATTCCACACATAATTCTTATGTTGAATATCGCCAAATTGGGACTTTGAATTCCATTTCAAGGCTTCCCTTGATGCTAATTTTAACCTGAATTCATTTAGATAAAAATGTCCGTGGGACAAGAAAGGGACATGCAGCATGATTTGCCCTGAACATCACTCTTCTAGAAAAGAAATAATACCAGTACCCAAGGACATTATACTGGTTAGGATAGGCTAAGTTATGTTGCAGTAACAAATAATCCTAAGACATCAGTGCCTTAATATAACAAAAGTTTATTTCTCACATTTTATATGACAAATTTTTCATTCACACATCCTTCCTTAATCACTGCAGCAAGAGGAAGGGGATGGGTCAAATTATGAACTATTTTTTAAAGCTTCTGTCCAGAGGTCATCCAATCCTTTCTATTTCATTAACTGAATCAAGTCATGCCCACCTAACTTTGAAATGGGTAAGGAAGTGTAATCCTACAATACACCTGAAAAGAGAGAAGAACTGTAATATTTATGAACAATTCTGGGGGTTATTATAGGTATAATCCTTTGTGAGAGAAATTTTCTCTTTAGATTATTTCAGAGTATAAGTTAATAGCTACCAGCCAATGAGATGAGCTGCTTGACTCACGTCTTTACTCATGACTCAAGAGGACACACGCATGACTTAGAAGTACAAAGATGAAAAGATTATCCTTTTTCTCAAGAATCTTGCAGGCCAGTGATGAGGAAAGAGGTAATGATATGCATGTGAGGAGAGGCAATGTCTCAAAATAATTTCTGAGTTGGAGGGAAGCACCAGAAGCAATGGGATTATGGGAAAGAGGAAAGACTTAAGAGATATAGAGAGGATAGAACTTAAAGCACTTGATGACCAATTAGTTACTGGGCACAATACAAAAGTCTTTGATGCTTCCTAGACTTCTGATTTGGTTAATTGTAAAGACATTAGTATATTATTCAAGAAAGGAATGGCAGAGTCAAGGACAATCTTGAGCAATAGAAAGGAAAATATAGGAATTTAATTTTATCCAAGTCCTTAAGTACTGATGGGCGGATTTAAACAGTGGCGTCCAGTAGATGTCTAAAAGCACAGAGGTCTGGGCTAACAGCTATTTATGTTTAGTTGAACAACTATTTATTGAGTGACCACTGTATGAAGTACTTTGCAAGGTGCTTTGGCTACAAAGTTAGATAAAATATAACCCATGCCACTGAAGAATTACGTTTAGTGGAAGTACAACAGATATCAATCAGGTAATGATCCTGCAAGGTGTCCTCTATTATAAGATGCGCAGGGTAGTCTGGGAGACCAGTAGAGAGGCCTCTAACTGAGCTTAGAAGGGTGATTGTCTTTATTATTCAAGGATGTTTTCTTTTTTCCTTTTTTTTTTTTTTTTTTTTTTTTTTTGAGATGGAGTCTCGCTCTGTCACCCAGGCTGGAGTGCAGTGGCGCGATCTCGGCTCACTGCAAGCTCTGCCTCCTGGGTTCAAGCCATTCTCCTGCCTCAGCCTCCCGAGTAGCTGGGACTACAGGTGCCCACCACCACGCCTGGCTAGTTTTTTTTTTTTTATTTTTAGTAGAGACAGGGTCTCACTGTGTTAGCCAGGATGGGCTCAGTCTCCTGACCTCGTGATCTGCCCGCCTCAGTCTCCCAAAGAGCTGGGATTACAGGCATGAGCCACCATGCCCGGTCTATTCAAAGATGTTTTCTTAAAGGTGATTTCTGAGCTGAGTGTGGAAAGTTGGATAGAAGATCTTTGGATACTATAAAGTATGGTAATTTGCAGTTTCTGGAGTTATAATGTCTGGTTTAGGTTTTGGGCTTATTATTTTCTTTTGTAAGTCACTTAAACTTTTCTGTTCCTTGGTTTTCTCATCTCTAAAATGGTGATTATAGTAGTTCTACAATACCTATCTCAACGTAGTTCTGAGGATTAAATGCAAGGGTCCCTATCAAGACAAAGCTATTGCTAGACATAGTAAGTGCTCAATAAACATCAACTATTATAATTATTATTTGTAGAGGCAGGATGGGGGAAGACTATTACAGACAACAGATATAAAACAAATGTTTATGAAATCATAACCACAGGGTTATTTTGGATAATTATAAGTAGTTTACTACTGTTAGAGTTTAAAACGTGAGGCAGGGAGTGGCAAGAAAGGAGCCTGGAAGGACTGCCAGAGAGGAAATAACACAGAGCTAGGAATTATTTCATAGAGAGTAGCAGCTAATTATAAGTTTGAAGAAAATAATAGATAATCATATTTCTATTGCTAAGAACTCTACATAGGAACTGTTTGGAATTGTAGGGGAAAAAGAAAGGAAGCTCATAGTAGGGGTATATTGCAATTTTGTAGGTCAGAAATGGATTAAGATTGAATTAAACAATAAGAGTACAACAGACAGAAACAGTGACTTGAGAAATACTTAGGAAGTAAAACCAGCAAATCTATGTGACAAGATAGGGCCAGGGTAAGAAAGAGGGATGATTTTATCAAGTTTTTTCCTAGGGTCTCAGGAGCATGATAGTACCACAAACTGTGTATTTTATAATGCAAAAAGAGAATCAGGTTTAGGGGTGTTAGTGGTGTATTTTTAAGACTTTTAAGTGGAAATACTCAAATGAGGATTTGAAAATTTTTAGACCTACAGATAAATAATTTAAATGTCAATAGCATATAGCCTTTAAGCCAAATTAGGAGAGTAAGTAATATTCAGGAGATTGTGTTGAAAAGGAAGACCAGTAGGCTGATGATAAAACTCTGGTGAACACCAACAATTAATGGGTGGGGAAAGCAAGAGGAACCCATATGGGAAATGTAGAAAAATGGCCAAAAGGATTTTCATTTCTTAAAAAGAAAATTTTGTTTACATGGGAGCTAAGGGAGTAGCCATTCACTAATTTAAATAATAAACGTATTGAACATCTAATTCTACCCAGTACTGTGGCCACCAGAAACATATTCAGAAAAGAATATTAATAATGTGAACTAAAAATTGTCCATTGCCTTTAGCCATAAAGAGTTTCACTGACCAACTGAATTAGAGCAACTTCTGTGGATTGTTGGAAGCAAAAGCATAAAAGCCATAGTATAAAGAATGAATGGTAGGTATAGAGAAAAAGATAGTAGGAGTAGATAAGTTGTGTATAAGCTTACATATGAAAATATGTAGTAAAATGAGAAGAAATCAATGACAAAAATGAGATCTTGGTGGAAGAAGAAAAAACAGTGAGGAGGACAGAGAAGGATCTACCAGATTCAGATTGAAAATGTGAGAGGAGTTGCACAGTAGAAGGCAAATTGTGAGAATTTAAAAAAATAAGTTATAAGATTTATTTCAGATAGTTGCAATATTTTTTACTTATGATTTCTATTTCTCTATTGATAACTTTCATATTTCTACTCAAGAATGTTTGCCTTTATCTGATGGAACATACTTATAATAGATGCTTTAAAGTCTTTGATAATTCTAACATCTGGATCATCTCAAGATTGGCACTTATTGATAATCTTTCCCTTTGGAATTTGTCACAATTTTTGAGTACTTTGTAAATTGAATACTTTTGTATTGCAACCTAGACATTTTAAATATGTTGTTTACATTCTAGGTTCTATTAAAATCCTCAGGAAAATATACTTTTTTTTTTTTTTTTTTGGTGGTTGTGGTGGTTTGCTTGGCATTCACCAAGTTAGGTTCAGATTGCAATTTCTGTCTCACTTTATGGAAATGATTGTTCCAATGTCAGTTCAATTAGCGAAGCCTTTGATATGCCATTTGGGGTCCACTGTGAGCATGTACCACTCAGAGGTTAGTGTAAGACCTAGGTGATATTTTAAAATTGAGGTTCCACTATCAAAACTTTTGCTGTGCACTTTTGGATCTATCCTGCACAAGTACACTTCGAGAGTAAACCCAGAAGCTAAACTTGTTTATTCGCAGAATTAGGGGACTCCTTTCTCCAAATCTCTCATCTCCAGGATTTCCCCCACACTTTTCAGTTGGAAGGGACCTCTTTCCCTGATCTTCAGGCCAAAAATATGGAATTTAACTTGGGGCTAAATTCCTTGCTGCCTTTGCATACTGAATAACTCCAATGATTGTGGCCATCTCAGGCAAGAACAAAGACAGAAAATGGGACTCATCCTAATACTCTCCTGATTGAAGAGTCCCCTATAACCTATTCATCAAGCCAGAAGGATATGGTTTCTATTGGAGTGTAAGCTTTATAGCACTGCCCACAATATGGACACCACTGGAAGTATCATTTCCACTCTTATCAAGCCATGAGAGAAAAAAATAAAGGATGATTCCCCTCATGTTCTCTTGCTCATAGAGGCCTATATCTTAGCCTTCTAGAGATAAAGACAGAATTATCTCAACATGTTAGATGCCCATAGTGATGTTGTGTCAGGTTCACTGGAAGCCTGTCTTGGCTCAAGTCCATGATAGAAAAAAGAGAAAATAAAAGGGAAATTAACTTACATATAAATCATTTTTAAATGCCTTGACATCCTTCCCCAATGTACCTGCTTTTGTTTATTTTTCAGAGTCCTCAAGTAGTTGCTTTTTGTACTTTGAATAAAGACTTTAGTCATAGTAGGAGAGATAGACTGTAATGGACTTACTTCACGATGGCTGCACCAGAGGTTCCAAGAACGAGTAAGTTTTGGGGTACTAGGAGAAACCCCAAGTGAAATGTAAAGCCTGAAAATTATTTACTGGACATGGCTGTGAGGAAACCATTTGAGACTTACACATATTTAGTGGGGCATAGGGCCAGAAACTGCAGTGGGGTGAGGAGTGAATAGGGAGTGGAAAAGTGGGGATGGGTGTGGACTATTAAGTTTGGTTGTGGAGGAAAGTTAGAAAAAGGGCAATAATCGGGGGGATGAAGATTGAGAAACATTTAAAAGTAAAGAGGATAGAATGTGTGCCCAAAGATAAAGGTCAGTTGGTAGATTTGCTGGTGGTAAGATGAGCTAGTTCTCTTTGATTTTCTATTTTTCTCTGTGACATAATATGTGAATTATTAGCTGAGAATCAAAAGAAGAGGAGTTGAAGGCTCAAAAAGAGAAATGTACAAAATTATCTTGATAAGAAAGAAAGTTAACATTCCAGTGAAAGATTGTAAGATTGAGAAGCAGTGTTGGGGGGAGCCACTTTTATGTAGTTTTAACCTGAAAATCAATTTCATCCAATCTTCTAGCTCAATACTTTCTTGTCTTCTTGTCCTCTAGTGGCTTTCAACTTCAACCCACATCTAAAACACACCACTGTAGCCACACCCTACACCCTGTGGTTATCCAGTTGTGAGTCCTATTGGAGAGATGAGGTACGTCCACTGGGGAAAACCTAAGGATGAGAGGTACAGAGGTTAGATGAAAACATGAAGATACTATCCTCAAGGTTATTCAGAGAGTCATAGAGAAAAGAAGAAAGCGATAGTTAATAAGGAGACTTAGGTTCCTTAGAAGGAAATTAACCAGCCATCAAACTGATGATGTTTAGATTGGAAACACAAATGGATGATGAGTTAACCAACAGAACTAAATCAGATCAGGAGTATAAAACTGAGGAGTGAGGAGGGAAGCCTGACAAGTGAGGAGGTACAAAATGGCCACCCATGGGCATCTAGTTGATCATTATTTCTACATAAGCTACTGTACAACTCACAGAGTGAGGATGGATGCTTACAAATAACAGACTGGAATGAGCAACTCAGAATTGCTGCACCTCTAAAATCAAATCACAATACTCCATGCTCTGCCTATAACCTACTATCCTTTGCTATTATTGTGTTTGCTATTCATCTGCATCAATTCTTTTAATTCTATGAATTTTGTTCCCATCAATTGTTCCTAATCGATCAGCCCATTCTGGTTTAACTTTTGTTTTGTTCCCTTCCTGAACACTGGTCTTTCATTTCAATCTTTCTTCCTGGGCACCCACAAATCTCTCAATCCATTTTCTTCCTTATGTCTGTCCTTAAAACAACTTCCCTCCACCTTCAGATTAATCTAATCCTCTGACCTCTACTCTCCTACTCAAACTATTAAACACAGCTGAAATGCCTTCTATTTTAGGCTGTTACTCACATCTTCCATCCCAGCAGCTTATTCATACCACCATCTTCCGTCACCAGGATCACCACCACTAGCCTTATACACTTGACTATCACTCATACCTATTAGAATCAATTCTCTACACATCAGACAAACTGAGCTTTATAAAACACAAATCAGTTTGCATTACTTCTTTGCTATAAACATTCAAAGACTTGTCATTTCCATTAGGACTCTGGCCTACACAGGCCCCCATGATCTGACCCTGCCTGCCTCTTCCACCTTTGCCATAACAATCTCCTCCTCTTTCCTGGCCTTCTTGCCATTTCTTAAAAATGACATGCTTATTCCTATTTCAGGCTGTTACACTTGCTCTTGTCTGCCCAGAATTCCACACACCTTCTCCATCTTACGCAGGTCAAGCTCAAATGTCACCTGTTTGTCTCTGTAAAAAATGGAATCCCTCCTTCATTATTATCTTTGCCTTTATTCTGCTTTTTTTTTCCCCTAGTGCTTATCACTCTCTGAAACTATGTTATTTGTTTGCTTATTTCTTTGCTGTAGCCCACACCAGATCAGGAACTCCTCAAAAGCAAGACCTTAAAACTATCTTATTTGGCTACCATATCCATAACTTATAAAACAGTACTCAGCATACAATAGACACCAGGTAAATAGTTGTTGGATCTGTTGAATTATCACCATGAAAGCTAAAATCCTCTAGGATAATGGTGGGAGTCAGGGTGAGAGTGAGGTGTCAATGTCACCTGATGAGTTGAAGAAAAGATAATTTTACTATTTGAGAGAAAGGACTGAAATATGATATGCTAAGGAGTTGTTGCTGAATTTAAATTTTTTTAGGGAATCTATATTAAAATATGCTGTATATTTGATATTAGACCTAGAGGTCAGTGTAACCCATTCACAGGGTTTGCAAGTATCATTTGTGTCATCCTCAGTTTTGCAAATAAAATGTTGCACTTTTAAAAGATAAATGTAAGTAGCTTAAGCAGAAGTAGTTAGGTATATTTTTTCACTTTTTCTTTTTGGTCCAGATCTGGCATGGTTCCTAGACATGTGAAATTAGTGATGTGGAAAAATGTAAATATATAGCTAATGCAATAAGCTTCACAAAAATATTTTGTTCTATACAGTGTTCAGCATTTTAACCAGCTCCATGGATTTCAGTAGGAAGTCTCAAAAATGTATCATGCCTTTTCTGTATTTTATAGGAAGAATATCATGAATTTAGCTGGTATTAGAAAGTAGAACTTGGAAAATAGAGTGTAACTGGAAAATGAAGGGACTTAACTGAGACAAACAGCCTCTTCTTATCCATTTTTAAAATGTTCAGATTTAACTAGATGACCATGACCATGAAGAACTTCTCAAGCTCTTTGGTTCTACAGGTGTATGACAGTTTCCTGGAGGGGGTCATATGGATCTACTACTACCTTCCCACTGACATTAGGCAGATGTTCATTAGATTGGTTTGATAGATGTAATGGTTAATATTGAGTGTCAACTTGATTGGATTGAAGGATGCAAAGTATTGTTCCTGGGTGCGTCTGTGAGGGTGTTGCCAAAGGAGATTAACATTTGAATCATTGGACTGGGAGAGGCAGACCCACCCTCAATCTGGGTGGGCACAATCTAATCAGCTGCCAGCATGGCCAGCATAAAAGCAGGCAGAAGAATGTGGAAGGAGTAGACTGGCTCAGTCTCCTGGCCTACATCTTTCTCCCACGCTGCATGCTTCCTGCCCTCGAACATTGGACTCCAAGTTCTTCAGTTTTGGGACTCTTGAACCTTTGACCACAGACTGAAGGCTACACTGTTGACTTCCCTACTTTTGAGCTTTTAGGACTCGGACTGGCTTCCT
This sequence comes from Homo sapiens, assembly GCF_000001405.40. NCBI lineage: Eukaryota > Metazoa > Chordata > Mammalia > Primates > Hominidae > Homo > Homo sapiens. The sequence goes on along the minus strand of NC_000013.11, from coordinate 78,963,325 downwards.
TGTTCCTCAGCTTGCAGACGGCCTATTGTGGGACCTCACTTTGTGATCATGTGAGTCAATACTCCTTAATAAACTCTCCTTTAAATATACATCTATCTTGTTAGTTCTGTCCCTCTAGAGAACCTTGACTAATACGATAGGGAAGCCATAGTGACTGTCACTAATATTCTAATAAAAGAATTATTATCTATGCCAACTCTGGAGAGCCACAGGTAAGCTATACATAGATCAAAGTGTAAACCAGGGGTTCTCTGAGTGTGATTCCTGGACCAGCAGTATGTGGTGACATTTGAAATGCAAATTCTTGGGCCCCACCTCAGACCACTGAATTAGAAACTCCAGAGGTGGAGCTCAGCAGTTTGTTTTAACTAGTTCTCCAGGTGATGCTGAGGCACATCACAGTTGGAAATGGTGAGGTAAGTAAGGAATTTCAGCAGTTCAACTGCTGAAATGTAGATCTTAACAAAGTGCTAAATGAATAGAGGAAAAAGGGATAATTATCTGAGACATTTGGATCTTGTTTCACGAATAGGAGTTCAGATGAAGTTAGGGAGGTCTTTTGAAGTATAGGAAACAAGACATGCAAAGACTGGGGAGGTTAGGAAGACCAGACCTATTTCAAGATATACAATGGCCTAGTGGGGCTTGAGGTAGCAGGGTGCATTCTTTTTCTTAGATATGCTTCCTCCTCTCTGCTCCATGGTGCCACACATGATGCTGGTGATAAAGGAGACTGAGCGAGGGTAAAGATTCACAGTGCCAGCAAGGGCTTGGACATTGGCAGCCTATGGATCAAATTGTGCTTGCAGATGGGCTGTATTTGGTATTTTATTGTACAAACACTATGTATTTGGCATAGCATTATACAAATAAATGTGAACTAACATTTAATAATCAGTTTGGATGTATATATGTGTATATATATTATGTATAAATAACATATATGCTAACACAAAAATATATGTGCTATATTTATATTCTATACAAATAACATATAAATATATGTTAACATATAAAAATATATGTAATATATTTATATTATATATCTTTAAAATCTTCATTTTGGCTTTTCATCTTCATTTTTGGCTTTTCTCAAAGACACGGATGACTTCACCCACATTTTTAACAGTAACAATTTGCTGATTCTAGGAGCAGCTGCTGCTTTTTGCTGGGTCACGTCTTCCCCATTTCTCCGCAATCCCTACAACTCCCTTTTATGTCCACAGTAATTATTACACTCGGACTCTTCTTTTCATACAGTAAAGAAATCGTTCTCCATTTTCATGTCAAAGTCAAAGGTGAGAAAATACAAGAAGGATCAAGAGTGCTGCCTACCTCTTTCAAAACAAATGGGAAAGAGTATAATTTTAGGTGGAGGTCAGGAAAAGAATATTTCTACATGCTTGTTAATAACTCCAAAGAAACTTGTAAATAGAATTTAATAGGAGTAAAAATGAAAAAATGATAAACTCTGACTTGGAAAAACTTCACAAATTAAGTAATAACGGAAAAGGGTATTCAAGAGTGAATAGGAGTTTTTCCAGATGAAAATTAACCCCTTAGATAGTCATCCATTCAATAAAATGTGGAGTCTGAGGCAATTAATCATTTTAGAAGTGTTTAGCTTTTTTTCTGTAATTAAATTAATAATCTCTCATTACGGTGCCACATATCATCTAGCCATGTTGTTCAGGGCTACATTTTAATTACCCTGGCCTGAGGCCCTCCTTGAGCCCAAAGGTGCCTGGAAGTCCTTTTTAATAAGGAATTCATGCTCAAGGCTTGCTGCGATGCCATAGCTATTCACATTTGAAAATGAGCAGTGGAGATACATTCTGTAAATCCAAAGCCTGAGGAAAAATAGTTAACCCAACATGTTCTGAGCTTGTTCATGCTTCCTTGAGGGGGTTTATTGTGAATGAATACTTGGCTATGTCACTAAAATATTTAAAAGAGAAAAGCAAAAAGCACCAGAACCTAACCTTGAATGCATGTGTGTAGACATTCCTTTGAAAGACTAAGGCGAAGTAACCTTTCTTAAGAATCTTGTCTGGCCACTTAAACAGAAGCAGAGCTGGTAGATACTCCTGCCATTCACTAATTGAGAGACTTCTCCAGTTTCAGCAGTGGCTTCCTGTCCTGAAGTGGAGTTTGCAGTTCAGATCCAAATGGACACAAATTCCTTATCGGGGTGCCCAAATATGGGTCCTGATGGCCTGCGCCAAGTGCGGCATGACTCAGTGCACACCTGCTGGAGAGGTCCCCGTGCCAGGGACAGGCTCAAGCACCGCTTAGCCTTGACTGCTTGTGCATTTGTTGTCAAGTGCTTTGCGACTAGACAGGGAGAGTGTAATGGCGTCCCTCATAGCTGGAGGCCTGGAAAGAGGATGTAAGTGTGATTACTGCTGACAGCTAATGCAGCATCACCGTCAGAGCCAGTGGTGGAGATGCTGCTTTTGCATCCCAGGTACTTTGGTTCCCATCCCGGAAAATTTCTCATAGGGAACTGATTGATCTTTCAAACAAAATGACTAAATTAACCAAGTTGTTTCTATCTCTTGTATTTCAGTTCCTCACCCCTAAAACACAAAGACAAATGGCAGTTTGGAGGTAAAATGTTTGCTGAGCAACACAAAGCTTTAGAGTGAATGCCCAAAGATCTTTGCCATCACCTTCTCTTCTGCAGATAATGCAGTGACTGGGAGAGGAGAAGGGGGAAATGTGAGCTGTCACTTATGATTTGCATGCATCTGAATACACATTGTATACACACTAACTCAAAGTGGTTCACGAGATATTCCCATTAACTCGCGGTGATGGCATCTGCATTTTATAATGTCAAAGGAGCTCACTGGAAATAATAGACTTGAGAATAACGTAAGTGTAGAAGAATAAAATAAAAATAAAAAATAAGAAGTAGTGTGGCCAGCTTGTCTACAGCCCCTACCTTTTTGTGCTTTCTCTCCTGAGGCATCCTGGGTCATGCTTCCTTCATGGTCCCTGGATCTGGAAATCTTCACACTGTTCCACATGTAAGCCTCTATTGAGCCATTTAGTTCTAGTTTCAGCTCAGAAAACTTTTCCCTGAAATTTATGCTAATTATGATATCATAATTATTCAAATCTGTAACTGAGTCTGCGACAGTGACTCTCTTATCTTCACGCATAAATTCAACTTGCATTCATTAAGCAGTTATGTGTCAGGCCATATTCCAAGTACAGGAAGTACACGGATAAAGGGAGAAAATAGTAAACAAGTAAACAAGAAATGATCATTTCAAGTATCAAGTGCTGTGATAGAGTAATTAGGGACTAAGAGGTGAAACAGAGGCAGAAGAGGCTTCAGAGGAAATTGAGTACTGCCCATTAGGTAGGAGTATTCCAGAAAAGAAAGTGTGTGAAGAAGAAAAGAGTGCTCAGTTTCATCATCTGCAGTCTGCTTGTGAACTTGGGCAAGGGGGAAGCCAACAGAGACCTTAATAAGAATATTTGGATGGAATGGTGGGAACAAAGGCTTTTCCTGGGGGGAGAATGCAGAAAATAAAAGGACAGGCATCCTGTTTCATTCATCTTTGTACCATTTTTGTACCTCCATTGTCTAATATATAGTAGTCATTTAATAAATGTTGCCTGAATATACAAATTTCCTCGTCCTTTACCCTAGCCCATGTAGACTTGAATTTCATTGTTGGACCCCATGATGTCTTACATAAGTATCTTCCACAGCAATGACATGTGCAGCATTAATTTATTTACTTGGATATCTGCCTGCTACCAAACCATACAATCTTTGAGTGAAGGATTTTATCATATTCGTTGTTGTATCCTGAGACCTCAACACTGTTTCTGGAATATAGGAGTCATTCAGTTAATAAATATTGGATGGATAAATATTTATCAGATAACAATATTTGCATTTTTTTTCTAAAATTAGCTAAAATTTTCAGGCCCAACTAAAGAATAGCCTAAGCCTTGGATATATAGAAAGGAGATTTTAAACACATGTAAGCCTTGAAAAATATAATAAAAATTTTATAAAGGAGAGGCATAGAAAAGCAAAGTTTAGACTTGTTACTTTTAGGAATTGAGTTCATAAACAGACTTTTACTCTAAGAAGAGTGGCTAACATTTATTAAATGCTTTTTTTTTATAGAAACTGTGCTAAATGATGTACTTACATGGACTAGTTTAATTTTCAGAGCAATCTTTTTAGATAAGTAACATTATTAGTCCCATTCTACAGATGAGAAAACTAAGGCTTGGAGAAGATTTACACTTGACACATTTAAAGCCATGTGTGACTCAAGAATGTGAGCTTTTGCCCTGTGCTCATCTTTGAGATACAATTTTTAATGATGTGGACAGGAGAATGCTTCACTCAAGTCTCTATTCAAACTGTTATGAACCTTAGTTTTATTATCAAAAGTCACAAATAGAACAATAATGAAGGAACTATCAGTTACTGTTCACTTATTGGATCCCATACACTGTGCTAAGCACTTACATCCATTAACTCTGTTCTCTGTAGGATAAATATCATTGTCCCCACATACAGATGAGAAAAGTGAGGCACTGGGAAGTTATATACATGTCTTCTAATACTACAGAGATTATTACTGGTTAGGAGGGAATTTTTATCTTTTCAGATCCCCAAGTCCACGAATTTCTACTTTCATGTTATTTTCCCTTATACTGAATTATAGCAGTACCACAAGTACCAAAAAACAAACAAAAACAAAGCAAAACAAAACACAACAGCACCTTAACTTGGGTGAGAAATATCACCAAATGGAACCAAGCGCTGTCCAATAAAGAAGTCTAGAGTCTGTTTTTAAGCAACCAATTTTGCAAAGGTTCTCAGTGTGTCCAAGAAATAAGACAATAGAAAAGTAGATCTATATATGTATAAGGCAATCTCTCTCTCTCTGTCTCTCTTTGTGTCTCTCTCTCTCTTTCCCTTACTCTCTCCCTCTCATGCCCCTCCCTCCTGCTCCGATAGCCAGCTTGGTTCATTTATTTATTTTCCATGTTCTGGACACCTTTGATGAGCCACCCAGCACTGACTCAGCGGAGCTGGACCTTCACTTGGGGCCCAGTTCTCGGCAGCTGCTGCAGCTCTGCGTTTGCCTACAGCGATGTGCCAGCTGTCTCTGACTGCATTACACCACAGTAATGTGAACAACTGGAAGCAATAATGTGTCTCCCCATTTGCCTAACAATACCAACATGGACAATAACTCAGAAGACTGAAGATTTGTGCTGTAATTTAATAAACCCCATGCACATTTCTACAATTGAGTATCACATCTGTGCAATGGATCCTAGAAGTGTAATATTCTTTTATAAGGGACCATTAACCAATCTTAAGTTTATAGGTTTCCTTAAATCTTTTTCATCAGCTGTTAAACTACAGTAAAGAGAAAATTGCCTCTTATGAGACAAGGGATAGTAAAATACAAAGACTGTGATTAAACATCAATCAATTAAGGATTATAATATAATAAAATGCTGACTGATGATTAAAATGAGCACTTTCTAGGAGAATTGTATAAGCAATATTAAGAATTAGTTTTAAAGTCAGTAGAATAAACTTCAATTAGATAACATTATATATGAGTCCTTGCTCTATTAAAACAAGATTCGTAAGAATTATTCCTCAGGTACAAAGATCCCAAAATTGGCATTGAACTTCTGTACTAAAAAGTATTTTTTAGCTTCTCATTTTAATATTCCCTAGTCTACAGAATTTTAAATTTGTTTCTGAACAGAATAAATAACAGCATTTTTGCTTCAGCTAGTTTTCCACCAGTGTATGCAGCTGGGCAACAGTTTATGAAAATGGGTTGTGTAGTAAAACCACCAAACAAACAAACAACATTGCAATTGAGGTAACAAAACACTGACTAGAACTTAGGGCCCCAAAAAGGAGCTTTGGGGCTGTTTATAAAACTTAGCAATCTAAGCTTTCCTGAAATGGTCCCTTATAGAATTTTTCCCTTGAAGGCCAGAACACATGTCTGTCTAGGAAGAGTTACAAGTAATCTAAAACTATTCACTTTATTCATTTTCTGCCTTCCATCCATCACATCTGTAGCCATCATCTTCTCTGCTTTGGGCTGGAGTTATGTTAGAAGATCCAGGCTAATTAGGTCATGTTTGGCAGGGTAGCATGCAAGGAAGACTAACAGAGGCTTTTCCTCTTTGCTCTTGCTGCCATATTTTTTCTCCCAGTTCTCTATTATCCTCCTCTCACTAATATTACTGGCAAAAGTCCTTTTTTCTTTTTTCTGTACTGAGCTACTCCTTCCTCAGACCTTCTCTCCCCTATTGTCTTCCCAAAGCAATTTTCCTGCTACACTGCTTGTACTTGGTCCCTTTGCAACTCTGAGGGCATTCCAACTCCTGCCAGTTTGCAGGAAGCATTTTGAAGCTTGTTGCAACAGCTGGCTTATATGAGCCTTGAAGGACAAGCATGCATACATGTGGCAGCATATTTGAAGCACTAAAGCATCTGGTAAAGTAGGCAGAGACCAAAAGGTGCAGGTAACTCACAGCTTTCCTAGAAACTGCGCTGGAGGAGACTGGCACAACAGTCAGTGACAGAAGCATAATTAATGAACAAATCCCAGTGCAGCCTGGCTTCTGCCCTTATCACTCTATGGAAACTACTCTGGTGAAGGTCACCGCTGACCTTCTAATTACTCAATGCAATAGATGCTTTTCAGTCAATGCTTTTACTAGGCATCTCTGCTGGACGCAGCAGGACAGCTGAGTGACAGGCAGAACATCACACACTCACTAACTTACAAAGCAGGAATTTAAAACAGGTAGGTTTAAGCCCAAGTTCAGGATATTTCTGTTAAACCAAGTTACCTCTCGACAGTTCACAGATATAATTTAAAAGAAGAATGAAATGATGGGGAAATGATGGATTGACTAAACACTTATTTTTTCTTCTTTGTAGAACAGATCTAACGTGACAGTAATGGTATTTTAAGAAGGTATATAGCCACCAGGACCAAGAGAATGGCAGACAACACAGTAAAGAAAAGAGATTTTTTAAAAGACAGAAAGAGGCAAGAACCTAAAGTGCATGCAGGGATTAAACGGAAACCTAAAAATCTGTGATTAGCATCTTAAGAGAGGTAAAATCTGTGCAGACATATGTTGTTTATTGTGCTTCACTTCATTGCACTTCACAAATTTGTGCTTTTTGAAAATTGAAAGTTTGTGGCAACTGTTAAGCAAGTCTAATTGGTGTCATTTTCCCAATAGCATGTGCTCACTTTGTGTCTCTGTGTCATATTTTGGTAAATCTCTCCTTATTTCAAACTTTTCATTATTATTATATCTGTTATGGTGATCAGTGATCAGTCATCTTTGATGTTACTACTGTAATTGTTTTGGGGCATGGTGAACTGCACCTGTATACAATGGCAAACATAATCAGTACATGTGTGTTTTCTTGAGTGCTCCACAGACTGGCTGTTCCCCATCTCTCTCCTACTCTTCAGGCCTCCCTCTTCTCTGAGACACAACAATATTAAAATTAGTCAAATTAATAACCCTATAATGGCCTCTACATGCTTAAGTGAAAGGAAGAGTCACTAGTCTCTCATTGTACAGCAAAAGCTAGAAATAATTAATTTTAGGAAGATGTGTTGAAGGCTGAGACAGGTTGAAAGCGAGGGTTGTTGCTCCAAACAGTTAGCCAAGCTGTGAATGCAAAGGAAAACTGAAAGAAATTAAAAGTCCTTCTCCTGCAAATACATACATGAATGATTAAAAAAAAAAGTAAAATAGCCTTATTGCTAATAAGGAGAAAATTTGAGTGATCTGGATAGAAGATCAAACCAGCCACAACATTTTCTTAAGTCAAAGCCTAAGCCAGAGCAAGGCCCTAACTCTTCTCAATCCTATGAAGGCTGCAAGAGGTAAGGAAGCTGCAGAAGAAAAGTTTGATAGCAGAGGTTTGTTCAAGAGGTTTAAGGAAAGGAGTCATCTCTATAACATAAAAGTGCAAGGTGAATAAGCAAGTGCTGATGGAAAAGTGCAGCAAGTTATCTGGAAGATCTAACTCAGATCATTGATGAAAGTGGCTACACTAAACATGTTCAATGTAGACAAAACAGCCTTCTACTGGAGGAAGATGCCATCTAGGACTTACATAGCTAGAGAGGAAAAGTCAACATCTGACTTCAAAGCTTCAAAGGACATGTTGACTCTTCTTAGGCTAATACAACTGGTGACTTTAAGTTAGCCAGTGATTTTTCCCATTCCGAAAAATCCCAGGGCCCTTAAGAAGTATGCTAAATTTATTCTGCCTGAGCTCTATAACTAGAACTATGAAGTCTGGATGACAGAACATCTGTTTTTACAGCATAGTTTGCTGAATATGTTAAGCCCATTATTGAGACCTATTGCTCAGAAAAAAACATTCCTTTCAAATTATTATTGCTTATTCACAATGCACTTAGTATCCCAAGAGCTTTAATGGAGATGTACAAGAAGATTAATGTTTTTATGCCTGCTAATACAATGTCTATTCTGCAGCCCATGGATCAAAGAATAATTTCCAATTTCAAGCCTTATAATTTAAGAAATACATTTCATAAGACTACAGCGGCCATAGGTAGTGATTTGTGTGACAGATTTGGGAAAAGTAAATTGAAAACTTTCTGGAAAGGATTCACCATTCTAGATGTCATTAAGAACATTCATGATTCATGAGAGGAGGTCATAGTATCAACAGGAGTTTGGAAGAAATTGATTCCAATCCTCATGGTTGACTTGGAGGGACTCAAGGCTCCAGTGGAGGAAGTAACTACAGATGTGGTAGAAAAAGCAAGATAACTAGAACGGGAAGTAGAGCCTGGAGATGTGACCGAATTGCTGTAATCTTATGATAAACCTTGAATGCATGAGGAGTTGCCTCTTATTAATGAGCAAAGAAAGTGGTTTCTTGAGATGGAATCTCACCTGTAAAGATTCTGTGAATATTGTTGAAATAACATCAATGGATTTAGAATACTACATAAACTTAATTGATAAAGCAACAGCAGGGTTTGAGAGGATTGACTCCAACTTTCAAAGACGTTTGACTGTGGATAAAATGCTATTAAACAGCTACACATACTACAGAGAAATCTTTCATGAAAGAAAGAATACATTAACGTGGCAAACTTCATTGTCTTGTTTTAAAAAATTGCCACGGCCACCTCAACCTTCAACAACCACCACCATGGTCATTCAGCACCATCAACATCAAGGCAACACTCTCCACCTGCAAAAAGCTTACAACTCACAAAAGGCTCAGATTATCAGTATTTTTAAGTAATAAAGTATTTTTAAATTAAGACATGTACATCATTTTAGACACAATGCTCTTGCATACCTAATAGACTGCAGTATAGCATAAACAAAACTTTTATATGCACTGGGAAATCAAAAAGTTTGTATGACTTGCCTTATTGGAATATTTATTTCATGCTGGTGATCTAGAGTTTACCTCACAATATCTCCGAGGTATGCTTGTATATACTGCAAAAACAGGGTAAAAACACCCAACAACAACTTGCCTAGCAGAATAGACCTAGGGGACACCAAGTCATGTGGGAAGTACAGGTGAGACTTGGATGAAAAGAATCAATGTCGGTTGAAAGCCTATACACAGAGGAGTCCTGGATCCCCACTCCTTCCCTACAAAATGAAGTCACAATTTCTTTTCACCATCCTAAGAAAAATGGGAAGTTTAGTCACCAAACAAATCCAGCCAGAAAAGCTTCAGACTTGAGGTACGGAAATGAGTAAAACTGGGAGCTGAAGATGAGGAGTGTTCAAATTCTACACAATCAATGGTAGAATACCCCACCTTGCCACCCTGTTCTCCAGTTCTATTTCCAGAACCCCTATAGTCAGAAGTTCTGCTCTTCGCCCCACCCCCTTCAATTCCTAGATTCGTTTTTTTGTTTGTTTGTTTTTGTTTTTTGTTTGGAGAGCCTGAAATGCCACAAAGACAGAGCTTCCAGATACTGACATGAGACAGCCAGGTTGCTGCCTTGTCACCGTACAGTGAAGCTGATATGACTCACTCATGCAGACAGAGCTTCCAATCAGGTACAATAGTAGTTTTGCCTTTTAATTATGAGTGAATGGATATTGACTAATTCCTTGAAAATGAAAAGGCAAAAAACAGAACAAGGAAATTTTGAAATGTCTATCAAGACAAGGAGAAAAAGAAAAGTTAATGTTCTCGGAGAGGTAAGAAAATATTCCACTCATGAAATAAAACTCCCGTATAACAGAAAAAATTATTGAAAATTGAAAATTAAATAGCTACACTGAGAAATGCATTAGAAGGGTTAGAAGACAGCAAATATGAGAGAATAATTATTAGAAAATTAGTAATGTGTTACATTGAGGAGGGACAAAATAACTATAATAAAAAACATGGAGGAGGGAAGGCTGTCAAATTAATAAAGTAACATTTTTCCTAAAACTGTTAAACATGAGTTTCTATTATAAAATGGAAGGGCCCACCAATTCTTCAATGCAAAATTCACCAACACAAAAAACGGAAAATAAATCCTAACCTAGACCCATCACCATGAAATTTTAGAATCCTAGAGATAAATAAGTAATATTAAAAGTGTTAGGCCAGGTGTGGTGGCTCACACCTGTAATCCCAGCCCTTTGGGAGACTGAGGTGGGTGGATCACTTGAGGTCAGGCGTTGGAGACCAGCCTGGCCAACGTGGTGAAACCCTGTCTCTTCTAAAAATACAAAAATTAGCTGGGTGTGGTGGTGTGTGCCTGTAATCCCAACTACTCAGGAGTCTGAGGCAGGAGAATCACTTGAATCTGGGAGGTGGAGGTTGCAGTGAGCTGAGATTGTGCCACTGCACTCCAGCCTGGGCAATAGAGCAAGAATGCGTCTCAAACAAACAAACGAAAGTGTTGAGAGAGAAAGAAAAAAAAGACAACGTAAAAAAAAAATCAGGAATCAACACTGCATCAGCCTTCCTAACAGCAACACAGGAAGCTAATAGACAAAATGTCGCTTTCAAAATTCTGAAGGGAAATGATTTCCAAATCAGAATTTTCTAACCAGTCATGTCTGAGAGCAAACTTAAGACATTTTTACATGTGGCAGGATTTTCTTAGATGCTGGAGCATGTGTTCCAGCAAAGTGAGGAAGTAAATCAAATTCAAACATACAAGAAGAATATCAGAATTTTTCCAGAATATGGAACAGTTCCAAGCAATAGCTCTGTGGCAATGCCAGAAAGCAGAAGAGAGAAGAGGCTGTAAGAGTGAAGTCTCCAAGAGGAAATAATGGAAGCAATACCGTATCCATTTCAATACTTTGAGACAATATTAATAGACATCAGATAGATATATTGAACCACCTGGAAAAAATAAATAAGCATTGGATTTGTAGAAAATTAAGCAAATGAAAAATAATGTGATATTTACTCAGGGAAAAACAAAAGTTGAACTAGAAAATGTCATCATTAAAGTTTACTCCTTGGCTCAAGAATGAAGAATATTCACATTTCATATTAATATAAATGTGGCCTATGGATTTTAACAAAAATGTTACAAATCTATCATAGAAAAGTTCAGAAAACTTTCATCTACCTAACAAGAAATTAAGGAGATAATGTCTACAATATCAGCATGTTATGTAGAAATATTAGGGTAAATATTAAACACCCAAAAGACTTAACAGTGTCGGCCTCTGGGATGGTGTCCTGGGGCACAACAAAAAATATGGCAAGGGAAAAAGATTTGGCGAAGATAGCAGAATAGGAACAGCTCCGGTCTGCAGCTCCCAGTGAGACCAATGCAGAAGGTGAGTGATTTCTGCATTTCTTACTCAGGTAGCCAGTTCATTTCATCAGGACTGGTTAGCCAGTGGATGCAGCCCACGGAGGGTGAGCAGAAGTTGGGTGGGCGGTGGGGGTGTTGCCTCACCCAGGAAGTGCAAGGGGCCGTGGAACTCCCTCTCCTAGCCAAGGGAAGCCGCAAGGGACTGTGCTGTGAGGAACGGTGTGGTGCACTCCAGCCTAGGTATCACGCTTTTCCCACGGTCTTCACAACACTCCTCGGCAAATGCAAAAGAACGAAAATTATAACAAACAGTCTCTCAGACCACAGTGCAATCAAATTTGAGCTCAGGATTAAGAAGCTCACTCAAAATTGCACAACTACATGGAAACTGAACAACCTGCTCCTGAATGACTACTGGGTAAATAACGAAATTAAGGCAGAAATAAAGAAGTTCTTTGAAACCAATGAGAACCACGACACAACATACCAGAAGTTGGGACACAGCTAAAGCAGTGTTTAGAGGGAAATTTAGAGCACTAAATTCCCACAGGAGAAAGTGGGAAAGATCTAAAATCGACACCCTAACATCACAATTAAAAGAACTAGAGAAGCAAGAGCAAACAAATTCAAACACTAGCAGAAGACAAGAAATAACTAAGATCAGAGCAGAACTGAAGAAGATAGAGACATGATAAACCCTTCAAAAAATCATTGAATCCAGGAGCTGGTTTTTGGAAAAGATTAACAAAATAGATAGACAGCTAGCAAGACTAATAACGAAGAAAAGAGAGAAGAATCAAATAGACACAATAAAAAATGATAAAGGGGACATCACCACTGATCCCACAGAAATACAAACTACCATCAGAATACTATAAACACCTCTATGCAAATAAACTAGAAAATCTGGAAGAAATGGATAAATTCCTGGAAACATACACCCTCCCAAGACTAAACCAGGAAGAAGTTGAATCCCTGAATACACCAATAAAAAGTTTGGAAATTGAGGCAGTAATTAATAGCCTAACAAATCAATAAAAGCCCAGGACCAGACGGATTCACAGCCAAATTCTACCAGAGGTACAAAGAGGAGCTGGTACCATTCCTTCTGAAGCTATTCCAAACAATAGAAAAAGAAGGACTCCTCCCTAACCCATTTTATGAGGCCAGCATCATCCTGATACCAAAACCTGGCAGAGACACAACAAAAAAAGAAAATTTCAGGCCAATATCCCTGATGAACATCAGTGCGAAAATCCTCTATAAAATACTAGTAAACCGAATTCAGGAGCACATTAAAAAGCTTATCCACCACAATCAAGTCAGCCTCATCCCTGGGATGCAAGGCTGGTTCAACATATACAAATCAATAAACATAATTCATCACATAAACAGAACCAATGACAAAAACCACATAATTATCTCAATAGATGCAGAAAAGTCCTTTGATAAAATTCAACACCTCTTCATGCTAAAAACTGTCAATAAACTAGGTATTGATGGAACATATCTCAAAATAGTAAGAGCTATTTATGACAAACCCACAGCCAATATCATACTGAATGGACAAAAGCTGGAAGCATTCCCTTTGAAAACCAGCACAACACAGCGACACCCTCTCTAACCACTCCTATTCAACATAGTATTGGAAGTTCTGGCCAGAGCAATCAGGCAAGAGAAAGAAATTAAGGGTATTCAAATAGGAAGAGAGGGAGTCAAATTATTGCTGTTTGCAGATGACATGATTGTACATTTAGAAAACCCCATCATCTCAGCCCAAAAATTCCTTAAGCTGATAAGCAACTTCAGTAAAGTCTCAGGATACAAAAATCAATGTGCAAAAATCACAGGCATTTCTATACACCAATAATAGACAAACAAAAAGCCAAATCATATGTGAACTCCCATTCACAACTGCTACAAAGAGAATAAAATACCTAGAAATACAACTTACAAGGGATGTGAAGGACCTCTTCAAGGAGAACTACAAACCACTGCTCAAGGAAATAAGAGAGGACACAAACAAATGGAAAAAGATTCCATGCTCATGGATATGAAGAATCAATATCATGAAAATGGCCATACTGCCCAAAGTAATTTACAGATTCAGTGCCATTCCCATCAAGCTACCACTGACTTTCTTCACAAAATTAGAAAAAAACTACTTTAGATGTCATATGGAACCAAAAAAGAGCTTGTATAGCCAAGACAATCCTAAGCAAAAAGAACAAAGCTGGAGACATCACACTACCTGACTTCAAACTATAATACAAGGCTACAGTAACCAAAACAGCATGGTACTGGTACCAAAATAGTATATAGACCAATGGAACATAACAGAGGCCTCAGAAATAACACCACACATCTACAACCATCTGATATTTGACAAACCTGACAAAAACAAGCAATGGGGAAAGGATTCCCTATTTAATAAATGGTGTTGGGAAAACCGACTAGCCATATGCAAAAAACTGAAACCAGACGCCTTCCTTACACCTTATACAAAAATTAACTCAAGATGGATTAAAGATTTAAATGTAAGACCTAAAACCATAAAAACCCTGGAAGAAAGCCTAGGCAATACCATTCAGGACATAAGCATGGGCAAAGACTTCATGACTAAAACACCAAAAGCAACTGCAACAATAGCCAAAATTGACAAACAGGATCTAATTAAACTAAAGAGCTTCTGCACAGCAAAAGAAACTATCATAAGAGTGAATGGGCAACCTACAGAATGGGAGAAAAATTTTGCAATCTATCCATCTGACAAAGGGCTCAGGACTCATATCCAGAATTTACAAGGAACTTAAAGGAATTTACAAGAAAAAAACAACCCCATCAAATAGTGGGGGAAGGATATGAACAGACACTTCTCAAAAGAAGACATTTATGCAGGCAACAAGCATATGAAAAAAAGCTTATCATCACTGGTCATTAGAGAAATGCAAATCAAAACCACAATGAGATACCATCTCACACCAGTTAGAATGGTGATCATTAAAAAGTCACAAAGCAACAGATGCTGGAGAGGATGTGGAGAAATAGGAACACTTTTACGCTGTTGGTGGGAGTGTAAATTAGTTCAACAATTGTGGAAGACAGTGTGGCGATGCCTCATGGATCTAGAACTAGAAATACCATTTGACCCAGCAATCCCATTACTGGGTATATACCCAAAGGA
Source organism: Homo sapiens (assembly GCF_000001405.40). Taxonomy (NCBI): domain Eukaryota; kingdom Metazoa; phylum Chordata; class Mammalia; order Primates; family Hominidae; genus Homo; species Homo sapiens. The sequence goes on along the minus strand of NC_000013.11, from coordinate 78,948,310 downwards.
TTATAAATTATTCTACTATAAAGACACATGCACACATATGTTTCTGCAGCGCTATTCACAATAGCAAAGACTTGGAACCAACCCAAATGCCCATCAGTGACAGACTGGATAAAGAATATGTGGCACATATACACCTTGGAATGCTATGCAGCCATAAAAAAGAATGAGATCATGTCCTTTGCAGGGACATGGATGAAGCTGGAAACCATCATTCTCAGCAAAGTAACACAGGAACAGAAAACCAAACACTACATGTTCTCACTCATAAGTGGGAGTTGAACAATGAGAACACATGGACACAGGGAGGGGAACATCACACACCAGGGCCAGTCAGTGGGTGGGGGGCAAGGGGAGGGATAGCATTAGGAGAAATACCTAATGTAGATGACGGGTTGATGGGTGCAGCAAACCACCATGGCACGTGTATACCTAAGTAACAAACCTGCACGTTCTGCACATGTATCCCAGAACTTAAAAAAAGAGAAACACTAATGCTTTACAGGTTATTTTGCTATATCCGTTCCAGCTGGACCTGCTCTCACCTCCTCTGGCTGGGAATCACTAGGCTTTAGGAAGTAATGCACTGATCATTAGCCATTGGGGATTTGGCCTCTTCGACAGTTACTTTGCAATCTCTATTAATAATTTAGTATTCAAGTTTGTGTGTGTGTGTGTCTGTGTGTGTGTGCATGCATGCACGCCTACATGCATATATAGAGTTCAGTAAATAACCAGATCTGGGAACCTAGAAGAAAGATGAGCTTAAAGTTGTACCAGGATTTCTAGTTTAAGTACTTGGCTTCTACCATTTTCTGATTCTTTGTTATTCAATATAAATACAGTTGGCTTACTCATGGCAGTAATATTTCTTTATCCTAGTTATTTCAGGAAATAACTAGGATAATCACTGAAGTGTGTTTTTCTGAAAACCTTTTATTATTGTAAAATACAACTCACATCAAGAAAAGTGCATAAACTATAAAGAAAAGTTTAACAAATTATCACAAAGTGAATCTCAGAGTAACCAGCACTCAAGTCAAGAAATACAGTATTGCCGGCCACCGTGGGTGTCTTCTGCACTCACCTTTTTAATCATAACCCCTCCCCTCCTTCCTAAACATAATTGCCATCCTGACTTTTATGGAAATTTCCTTTCTGCTTTCTTCATGGTTTTATCACTGAAGTATGGATTTAATTTCACTAAGTTCAGGCTTGTTTGGGAGCTTTAGCAAATTGGAGTGTCTACTTGGTTAAATGGAACCAGGGTGCGGTAGCGGTGGTTTGGCAGGGAAAGTGAGGTACTCCTACCCCTCAAGAGACCTTAACTACTTTAGATTAGGGTCTTGTAACCTCAGCAGTATTGACATTTTGGGTTGAATAATTCTTTGTTCTGGGAAGCTGTCTCGCATTGTAGGATGTTTAACAGCACCCCTGGTATCTACCCAGTAGCTACCAGTAGCATCCCTCTTCCCATTATAGCAACCACAGATGTCCAAAGATATTGCCAAATAACCCCTGGGGAGAGGGCAAAACCATCCACAGCTGAAGGCCACCACTTTAGACTAATGTTAGGAGTATTATTGTCCAAAATGGCACTTGACTCAAGTGAGAGAATGCCCAGCAGCTTTCTCAAAGGGTCAGCAAATGAAAGGGGTTCTCTTTTCATATCTCAAACCTTCCAAGATTGCCAGCTTATTTAGGTGGTTTATTTGCCACTGTATGTCAAAGAACCTGAATATCAACTGTAATATATGTGCACACATATATTTATAAACACATTATATACATTGGAATATAATATGTAAGTGTTAGAGATTATAATCTAAAAACAGAGTAGATGATAAAAAAAGTCCCAAATCTGATATTTACATGCTATTCAACCTTGAGCATGTCCCTTAACCTCTCTGAATCTCAGTTTTCTCATTCACACTACAAAACTCACCAAGTGCCCCTCTGAGGGTAGTTTTTTGATCCAGGGAGGTCAGAAAATGTAAAAATGTATTATAAATAATAAGGTGCAATATTAATGATTGCATTAAATTCTAAAGACTCAACGAGAAAAAGAGCTTCAAAGTTTACTGAAAATTAATAATAGTGTAGAATCTGTCTCAATAATGTGTTTTTGCTGGACTTATGGGCCAATAGTAGAATAAGAATTGACTGCTATACTTTAGGACTCTTGGACTTTAGATTTGAGGCAGAACTCACGTTAAGAGAATTCAATGCAGGAATAAAAAGATTCATATTCTGATCATCTTGGTGTTGCACGCTCTGTCATGGTGTTAATTTTCCTGATTTTTGCAATCTTGTTACTTCCATTAACTACATATTTTGCTTTAAAATTAAGTATTTAACTATATAATTTAGTATATAAGTATTTATTGGATTTTTAAATAAGTCTCAGATGCCATTGTTCATTCCATGTTGCAGACTCCTATGGTCAGGGGCTTATGTCACTTGTTAAACGCAGTGACTAACACAGCATCACATGCAATGAGTTACCTAATGAAGCCATCAAAGAATTAGAGAAAGAAGTTCTGAAGGAAGGAAAGTGAGGATTCCTGGGTTGAAGGTGAGAATCGGAATCCTCTGTTGGTATAGAGAGTGACTGTAGAGCAAGAGGTCAGAGAGTATTTTCATAGGGTAGCCAGGGAAGGCCTCTAAGTAGGTAATATTTGAGAGGAGAAATGAGTGATGAAAAGACAAACAGTCATTATATATTTTGAGTCCATGTTATTAAGAGCATATATCATTTATGTAAAATTATAGATATTATTATTACTGTATTATGTGGTCAATATTCATTTAGACTTACCTATTTTTCCTTTCCATTACTCTTCGTTTTTTTCCTGCCCCATTTTATGCTGCCTTCTGGAATTCTCTCTCTAACTAAATAAATCCTTTCAATTTTTCTTTTAGTTTGGGCTATTGGTAACAAATTCTCTCTGTCTGTCTGAAACCATCTGTATTTCACATGTACTTTTGAAGCATTTCATTTTATATTCATTTTCACATTCCTTTGACTTTTAGGTTAGTTAGTTATTTCTTTTAGAATTTTAAGACGCTATTGCCCTGATATCTGCCTCTTCTATTGAAAACTCCACTGTTGAGTATTAAGATTTTTCTCTTCCTTTTTCATTCTTTAGCAGTTTATTACGGTGTGTCTAGTTATACATATCTTTGAATTTACCCTCCTTAACGTTTGTAGAGATTCTTGCATCTGATCCTAAGTGACTTTGCATCTGTTTTGGAAAATTCTTAGTCAACATCTTTTCAAATGTTGGCTATGTTCCATTCCCTTTCTTCTCTCTTTTGTAACTCCAACATGTTAGACTTTCTCACCATGTCCTATATTTTTTGTATGCTCTTTTCTGTGTATTCTACCCTTTTTATTCTTTGTGCTTCATTTTAGATATTTTGGGCTAACTTATCTTCCAATTCACTAATCTCTTCTACTGTTTCTAATCCGCTGCTAGATCCACCTATTGATTATTTCTTCAATTTTTTTGTATCTAAAATTCCCATCGGATTCTTTTGTTTGATTACAGTTCTTTGATGAAATTCTCCATTTTGCCATCTATTTTCTTGAATATATTAATTATAGTTATTTAAAAATTTACATCAGATAATGTCAATATCTGGATCTCCTGTGGTGGGTTATTATCTATTATTTTCTGTTTTTAGCATTTGGCCCCGTATACTAACAACCTGGCATTTTGTGTTGGGATGCCAGAAATTATATATGAAAAATATAACAGTTCTGTATTATGTGATCTTTTAATTTTCTTCTGGCAGGACTTTGGAGAAGGAGCCAACTTGATCCAATGAGGGGTGAGATAATTTGACTGGGTTCAGTCTTCACAGAGCTGATCTATTTCTTGTTTGTTTTTACTTCCAGGTCATATCTTTTTAGAGGTTTCAGCTAAAAGCCTGGAAAGTTTAACATGAATCCCCCACCTTGGCAGGCCCTGAAATCAAACTTCTATCTTCTTAGCATTGTGAAATTGTCAAAAGTTCTGCTCAGATTTTTACTCTTAATGTGTATCTTTTTTTCCTTTTTCTAAGAAGGTCTTGCTCTGTTACCCAGGCTGGAGTGCAGTGGCACACTGTTCACCGTGACCTCAAATTCCCGGGCTCAAGAGAGCCTCCTGCTTTGCCTTTCAACTAGCTAGGATTACAGGCATATGCCACCACACCCAGCTAATTTTTAAAATTTCTGTTGAGACCAGGCCTCTCCATGTTGGCCACGCTGGTCTCAAACTTCTGGCCTCAAGCGGTCCTTTCACCTTTGCCTCCCAAAGTATTGGGGTTACAGACAGGAGCCACTGAATTGAGCCTTAATTTGTACTTCATTGTTGGTGTTTCTAAACCTCTCAACCACTGCAATTTAAGAACTGGCAGATATGTTGAGGAAAAAAGTAGCATAGAATGTTGAGCTCACATTTCTGAAGTTTCCTTTTCTTGAAGACTTATACCTCTTATTTGTGGAGTTAATAGTAAGGTCTGAATAAATTTCAGGCCTTACTAACCCTGAAATACACTTTTTTGTCTCTGAAGTTCCATGAGGCTGCTGAATGCTCCAAGCCACTGCTTTTAACTTGGCTTCTGAACACGTGCCACAAATCAGCAACTGTTTCAAGGGGAAAGGCAGCATAAATTACTGCCTCCTGCTAGAGACTGAATTGTGCTCCTGTATCCCCGATTCATACGTAGATGGCCTAACCCACAATGTGACTGTGTTTGGAGATGAACTTTTAAGAGATAATTAAGGTTAGGCTGGGTGCCGTGGCTCATGCCTGTATTCCTAGCACTTTGGGAGGTCAGGAGTTTGAGACCAGCCGTAGCCAACATCGTGAAACCTCGTCTCTACTAAAAATAGAAAAAAATCAGCCAGGCATGGTGGCTCACACCTGTAATCCAAGCTACTTTGGAGGCTGAGGGGGGAGAATTGTTTGAATCTGGAGGCAGAGGTTGCAGTGAGCCAAGATTGCACCACTGTACTACAGCCTGGGTGACAGAGCGAGACCCTGTCTCAAAAAAAAAAAAAAAAAAAAAAGAGAGAGAGAATTAAGGTTAAATGGAGTCATAAGTGTGGGGTCCTAATCCAATGGGATTGGTGGCTTTATAAAAAAAATCAATCTTGGCCGGGCACGGTGGCTCACGCCTGTAACGCCAGCATTTTGGGAGGCTGAGGCAGGCGGATCACCTGAGGTCAGGAGTTCGAGACCAGACTGGCCAAAATGGCAAAACCCCGTCTTTACTAAAAATACAAAAATTATCTGGGCATGGTGGTGGGTGCCTATAATCTCAGCTACTCAGGAGGCTGAGGCAGGAGAATTGCTTGAACCTGGGAGTTGGAGTTTGCAGTGAGCTGAGACCGCACCATTGCACTCTAGCCTGAGTGACAAGAGTGAAACTGTCAAAAAAAAAAAAAAAAGAAAGAAAGAGAGAGAAGGAAAGAAAATCAACCTTTCTATGTCCCTATCCTATGAAGACACTGCAAGAAATGCAGCCATCTACAAGCCACGAAGAGAACCCTCATCAGGAAGTTAATTGGTTAGGATTTTGATCTTAGATTTCTCAGTCTCCAGATCTGTGAGAAATAAATTTCTTTATAAATTACCTTGTCTCAGGTATTTCTTTATAGCAGTGTGAGGAAAAAAATATATATGTATACATATGAATGAAATGGATCATTAGCAACACAGGAGTAGACATGGAATGTTAGGAGGCTATTGTAGGAATCCAGGTGGGAGAAGATTTGGCTAAGGTAGTAGCCAAGAAGGCAGTGAACACAGGTTAGATCTCTGCTATATTGCATGTAGCAGGACTTGCTGATAGTTTGAGTATTTATTATATTGGGGGAAAAAGCAGTCTAAGATGACTTGGATATTTTTTCAGCTTGACTAACAGATAATAGAAAATTCTGAGGAAAAGCTATTGTTTTGGAGGACTAGTTAGGGGCTCTCTTAAGTTTGAGGTGTATGTTAGACCACTGTGATGGATAATTTTATGTGTCAGCTTAGTTAGACTATGGTGATCTGCTTTTTGGTCAAACAGTAGTCTAGATGTTGCTGTAAAAAAATTGTAAAAGATGTAATTCACATTTACAATGAGTTGCTTTAAGTAAAACAAATTATCTGGGAGGGCTCATCCAATCAACTGAAGGTCTTAAGAGCAAAGATTGAGATTTCTCAATGAAGAAGGTATTCAGCCCTCAGACTGCAACAGTGAAACTCTGCCTGAATTTCAAGTCTTCAGCCGCAACAGTGCAACATCAACCCTTATCTGTATCCCCAGCCTGCTGGCTTGCCCTATAGATTCCAAACTTGCCAGGTATCATTTTACATGAGCGAATTCCATTAAAATTAATGTCTCATATCTATGAGATTTCTCTCACATATATGAAACCTCTCATATTTTGACCAAATAGCTGTTGAATTCTGTTTCTCTGGAAAACCCTGACTAGTATCACAACTAAGCGGAAGTATCAAGAAGGCAGCTGCATACATGAGATCTGAAGCTTAGGCAAAAAGCTGGGTACAAATCTGAACTGAAGTGACTATCATAAAATTATAATGATACATAGTTGTAGTAGTTTCCTTGCACTGCCACAACAACTTATCACAAACTGGGTGGCTTAAAACAACAGAAATTTCTTCCTCTCACAGTTCTGGAGGCAAGAATTCTGAAATGAAGATGGCAACAGTGTTGGTTTCTTCTGGATGTGCCAAGACTTTTCCCAGTTCCTGGGGGCTGCCGGCAACCCTTGGTGCTCTGTGGCTTGCAGGCACATCACTCTGATCTCTGCCTCTGTCTTCACAGGGTCTACTCACCAGTGTCTCTGTGTCTTCTCCTTTTTTGTCTCTTATAAGACACTGCCATGGGATTTAGGGCTTGTCCTAATCCAGGATGATCTCCTCTCAAAATCCTTACATTAAATTTATCTGCAAAGGCCCTTATTCCAGATAAGTTTAAATTTGGAGTTTCCAGGTAGACAAATATTTTGGGGGACACTATTCAACCCAATGCAAAAATATTTTAAAAATGTAATATTCATACTATTTCTACTGTTAATAACTGATATAAGTAGCACTACAAGATCCTGTTTGCTTTACATTATCACCCTTATAGAGAATTACACTCACCACAGAATTACATAATCTGTTGTCAACCAAGTTACCCTTTTATAAATCACAAAAATTACCTGGGACTGTTACCCACATTTTAATTTTAACTTTATGCTCAAAGCAAAATTATATCAAGGTTGTATGTCCCAGAGGGTAGGCACTGTGTCACTTTCATCAGCTTTGCTGTAGACACAGTGGAAGCTTTGTTCAATAATAATGTTTCAATCCATAAAACTGACTCAAGCATCTGATGGATTGGTGCGTATAGTTTGCATCAGCTTAAGTTTCCATCTTTCAGAGGGTGAAGAAAGTTAGATGATAAATAGTCTTGACCTGCTGGTTCTGCTCAACTTTTATGCCTGCCTACCCATGGAGATATGCCTTTTTTTTTTTTCTTCCACTGAAAGATCTGCAAAGTGTCTGGACCAAAGTGACTAGAATTGCCCTCATTTGCAAAAGGCCCCAGAGAGCAGATTAAAGACCAGTTCCCCTCCTCCACTGCCTTTTCATCTGACTCCTGTGGTCATTTCTGCTGATGTCAGCTCCACTCTCTTCAGCTTTCACCGTCATCTTCCTGCAGAGATGGATGGCTGAGCAGACTGCTGGAGTAGCTATCCATCACTCATGCCTATGGATGATCAAGGCCACGTCTGTGGTCCCAAATTTGGCAGCAATTAAGTGTGGGTTGCATCTAGTAAAACAGTTCTCTTGTGCTACCCACAGAGAATCAGAAAGGTTTTCTGCTTATTTCAGAATGCTGCCAACAGCTCACCCACTGAGACTGAAAAGTGGAAATGAAGATCCGAGGAAAAACGAAAAAGAAGTGAGAAAACAGAATAAAGATATTCCAAAACTAAGGCTGTGGGATCTAGTGTGTCTTTGAGCTTGTTGATTTTGCGGGAAGCATTTTGTTATGTGGGCCAAGGATAGTACACAAACAGTAGTGCCTCTGTGGGTCAAAGGAACTAGATGCATTGAACTAGCCATAAACCTGGGAGTGCAAAAGGTGGATTGCTGCTCACAGACATGGAAAAATGTGTTTTCTTGATGGCCCTCTAATCTTAAAAACCAAGATATAGTGACAGCTTAATAAAAACTCCCTTCAGCAGGATCTGGTTCATTCTCTAGGGTATGAATTTGTTGCAGTCATTCATTTAGCATTTATTAGGTAGGCACTATTACCAATTCACTGGTGAAATGCCAAGAGACGTAGTGAATGCATTGTGCAACCTTAAGTAAAGAACTATTTGAGAACAAGCATTCAGATGTTTAACTCCAAGTCACTTAAGACCCATTTAAAAATAGAAAAAGAAATAATCATGAAAAATACAGATTAAATTTAACATATGAAAAATGTGAATATTTTCTTCTAAGTGAACCTGGAAAAGTTTTTAGGACCCACATAAGTCATCATGCTCTCCAGGGATTTTCCTCTCTTCTTTTAAGACAGTCATTCAGAAAATACTAACAGAGCATCTACTGTTTGGGTACAGGCAAAAGATACTGCATTCTAGGAGTTTGTGGTCTGTCTGAAGATGCTGAACTCATGTATCCTCATTTTATTTTCCTTTTGAAATATGCTAACTTATGCTTCTCATTCTCTAAGCTGGGAACTTTGCGTCTTTTGGGGAGGCAAATAGAAGATATAATAATCTCATGCATGTTAATGTTGGAATCATAGAGAATACTCCAAAGGCCTCCTATGTCCTTTGAGGTACTGGGAGCAGTTGACAGGTGACCTCTGGAGACAATCTCATGGCTTGTGTTCAGGTACCATCTTCCCTGAGTTGTTAAATTCCCACTACAAAAAATGAAGAGACCTACATGAAACAAGTTAGGAAGATATTTTTAAGAGGCTTATACTCTTCCTATTTAATTGTCTGGTGCTGGATCACAAGGTAACTTTTTAAATTTGATTTTATATATTTATATAAATGATATACATTATATACCGGTGTGTTTTACACATTGAATTAGTCAAAGTCATATCTGCTTTAAAGTTCTCTGTATTTACTGAGACTCATTAGAGAAAGAGATAGTTGAAATGCTATGAAAAAACACATCAGCATTACAAGTACAGCTAGCACCATTTTTCATTCAGTATAATGCTGTTCTGATTGGAAATCCATAATCTGCTGTTAACCCTGAAATTTTCCTTCCAACCAGTGGACAAACAAAATGATCTTTTTTCTCTTTAGAATTACTGTTCTCTGGAGCCTCCTATCCTAAAATGTGCAGAGTTTAACTCTTTATTCTTATCACAATGTATTGTGCCTGCAAGAATGTTGCAAGATTTAAAGGCCCACAGTAGACAGATGTCTTTCAGGGGCTTAAGCTGCTGCTGCTCATTACTTTGCACACATACTTTATTCAATATGAGGAAGAAGATTTGGGGGATCTTCTCTCAATACTTACCATTCCAAGACTGGATCAACATATCCTGACATTTGGTAAAATATGTCATTTATTCTGTCTCTGTTGCATCTCTAGGACTTGAGAATTCAAAGTACCCACCTGGGAGGTGAGTGGGGGCTGGAATCCAGCTTTCACTCCCCAAGTTGTGTGCCCTGCATGATGCTGAATACACTCAGAGGAAGGGCCATCCAATTCTAATTTGCACCAAGGCATCAGATCATCTGCTAGCAGACCTGTGCAAAGCAGGATTCACACAAACCAAGCTTAGGGGACCAATTCAGCCTTCATGCTTTTAGATGCTCCCTTGCCTTCCTAAGCACATAGCTCATTCTTGCCATCTGTAGAATCAGGCCTCAAATAAATCCATGACATCTCTTAATTTCAACTAGTTTGGAGGAGTACAAGTTTTTATGTTGCCCTTACATTTGAAACTCTTTTTGATGGCTTGAATTTGCTATTACAGTATGGCATGGCTTATCCATATTCCGTAGCATTTCAAGTTTAGGACAATTAGTGCAGTATAGCTAGCACTAGGTTAGATGCTACTAGGAATGGAAAAAGAAAAAGAATTGTAGGCATGTATGTCTATATGCATCACACAGATGTTTGTGTCTGTGCACACTTGGCAGTTTTGTTCTTGCTTTTGCTTTATTTTGACTCTAATTTGAATAATTAGAATACTTTTCCTATCTCTTTCATTTGCTGCATAATAAATTGTTCATTTTTCAAGGCCCAACTTAAACCTCACTTCCTCTGGGTAGCCTTCACTACCACCACCATGGGGAAGCTCCACATATTTATTATAGACTTTACCACTAGTAGTTTTTATTTGCCTGCTCTATTGGGACAGCCTAGCTGTGAATGAGTTATTTGAAGGGAAGGACTTCACTTAATTCAGGTTTGTAGCTCCACAGTCAGTAGAGGATCTTGCATATCTCAGTTATTCTGGAAATGCTAAATGAGTCCATAGTGAATGATATAATTCTTGCAGTGTGATCACTAATCTTTGAGGGTTATGACTTTGAAAATGTTACAAATTCTCTCCCCAGCACAACCACCACCAAACAGTCATATGCTGTACATGAAACATTTGCATGAAATTTTAGGCTGTTCTTGGACCTTCTAAAGTTCTTCCACAGACCTGCCTATGGGACCACAAAACTCAGAGTAAGAACCACTTGCTGAGGAAAATAAATGAATATCCTTGGTACAATAAAATGTGGAACATTTTTATAACATTTCCTTCACGAGTATTTATTGTGCTGGTGGCTGAGGATGCTATTGTGAATATCATGCACATATTCACAGTCCAGAAACACTAATAAATGAGTCAATAATTATAGCATGGTAAGTGTTATTGTAGTGGTATACATAGGTCGCTAGCCTTAGGGGAGTGTTTTTCAGATTCATGTTTCATTGACCAAAATTTTTTCAAAAACAAATTGGGAAAATGATACAGGTGGCCAAGTTTTTATTATTCCAAATCAAAACATTTTTAAAATTTTTCTACTATCACTCTCATTTCATAAAATGTTATAACTCAAAAATAATACATTATGATTTTGGAGTAAAGGACAATCTTTTAAATTGATCACATATAATTTTGTGAGAATTTTTTTAGCTCATTTCATCATGGACCTCTGAAAACTCACACCCTGGCACCAGGCATTCAATATTTGAATGCCCCTATCATAGGGAGTCATCAAAGGCTTTGCAGAAGAAATGTCCAAATTGAATTTTTTTAAGAGATAAATAAGGGGCAAGGATGGGAAGAAACCAGTATGAAGGGTCGATTCCAGGCAGATGAAATCATAATTGAAAGACTCAGAGACTACACAACTATATAAAGCTTGTGCATATTAGGTAGTAATGAGGTGAGTTCAAGTTAGCAGGAAATTCCTCATGGAAAAGATGAAGTGGGTAGGTGTTGAAAAGTCTTAGGAACTGGACCTGAGCAGAGGACAGCCATTAGATGCCAGTAGGATCCAGAAGCAGCGACTGCTGCAGGCTGGCATAGAAGGGAGCTGTAAGAAGTTTGGGGGCCCTTTGTGAAGACTCACTTACCCTGAAGCCATGTGTAAGAGCAAATCAGCCAGCAAGATGCTCCTACTGGGAGGCCCTGGCAGCTTAGGAGAAGGTGAGATAGGGTTTGTGGGCAATCAGAAGAGCCTGAGTCCCTGTGCTGGAAGAGGCTAAATGCCTGGGGAAGGCTGGTGGAGAGTGGCATCTACACAGGTGACAAATAGGAGAAGGGGGCATCCAGAGTCAAGGCAAGCATCCAGAAAGCTGTTCAGTTGGTAAGATCTTCTTTCGCTACATGGAAAGTAGGTGAAAATCGAGATAGAGTTTAAGGGTGAATGGAAGACATAAGGAAGAAAGTAGAATTAAGGTAGATATAGATATATAAAAATCTGCAAAGGTAATATTACCTTATTTTAAAATAATTTAAAGTTATTCTCTTCTATTATTTGTATGCCTGATTTTCTCCAATTAGCATATTAGGCTACTCAAACCTTAATAAACATGTAATTCACTTGTTAAAAATTTCTTACAATTGGATTAATGCTATTGGATGGTATTTGTTGACAATGATTTTTTCTTTTAAGATTTCAGCTTTGAAAGAATTTATGAGTCAATTAATTACCCAGATACTCCAGCCTATTTAAAGTGTCATACATTCCAAAATTATTTTTTCAGATGAAGTGCAGGTGTATCTGCACAGGAGACTCCTCTTCCAACCCAGGGCCACTGCTACTGAATAATCCCCTATCAAGGAAAATAAGCCTTTAATGAAAGGACTGCTAACATTCCTGTGTATGTTTACATGTAAGCAGATGTAGAAAAAGACCATTCTGACAGAAAATTCTTCCTGTGCCACAAATTTCCTTTTTCCAAATTCTAAGCATTTTACCCTAGTAGAATAGCTGGTTTGTATTGTGAGAATATTGTGTGTTATCAACAGCTCATTGTCAGATGCTTTATACTTATGGCATGGGAATATTTAAAAGCCATCTATGCCTGGAACCACCGTTTCCTACCTGCCTTTTCCTCCACTTAAGATTATCCTTTTAAATCTGTAGCAAGTAATTTTTAGACACATTTCTTATTATAGCATTACCACAGCCAGCACAAACATCTTTTTCCTTTCTCTCACCATGTGTACACATAATGGAGTTTCTTATTAAATATACATGCAATCCCTCGTTGCATATAAATGTTCCTCATCAAAGAATAAGGAAGACCCTGCAACACTGCTATTGATTGTTCATAAAGACAGTAATATCTGAATGGCGTTCTCGGTCTTTCTCTTAAAACAAACAAACAAACACAAAAACCACTAAGTGTCATGTAACCTTACCAGCCATCATGAGGAGCTCTAATGTGACTCTTTTCTTGCATATTTACTAAGCTGCTTCATTTCAGATTTCTGAGACGACAGAAAGTAGGAGCTGATTTTCTACTTCCTGAAAAGAATTTACAAAGTCTTGGGTTGTCTTCATGGGGCAATACTCTCCTCTTTGGAAAAAAATGCCAGTCTAAAGAAAGCCATACTGCTATTTTGGAGAGGTGAGGAGGATGGTTAAGATTAACCAGTAGTGAAATGCTTCCTGTGGGTTCCAGTGCCTCTCAGAGAAAACACCAATCAGTGATAATAGAAGATATCCTTTGAATGTGAGACATAGGAGAATATTTCTCACATTCACTTTCATTTTAACATTAGGTGCAACTGACTTGAAATTCACAAGAATGTTATCCAGGGGAGAAGAAAATCAGAAGCTTATTAAGGAATACTAAAATAAGCACTTGGAAAGACAATTTATCATTTTGTTGCAGGCACAGACTTCTTGGGAAGCGCTTTCTCCCTCTGGTTTGGCAGTATTAAATTACATTGTTGGAAAACACACTTGGATGGGTGACTTAAGCCAAGTCTGCACACACTAGGTGAAACCGTATCTATTGACTTACAAGCTGGATGCATGTGTCAAAATGCAATCCGGTATTTTTGTAATAATAGCTAGCAGTCATGGTTGTAAATTATTTATGGAGAGTATTCAGTGCAAACAGGTTAGTGCACACATCCTCTTCAGCTTGACTGCCCTGGTTTTAGATCACGCAGACATTCAACTCCTCAGAGATCTGCTCTTATCACTGCAAACCCTAAAAGGGGGCCCCAACTGCAGTCAGTTCAGCGACTCACAGCAGCCCGGCCACTTGCTTGCTAAAGCTCTACCTCAAGGTTCAGTGAGTGAACACGGTCCCTCTGCCCCGCTCTCTCACACCCGCCTGGCCCTGGCGATGTAAGGTAATATCAGACATGAAGGCGGATCGATCTCCAGAGCAGAGGCATGGCCGTGCTCTGCTATCTTTGTGCAGAAACATGGAAGAATGTGCGCGGCAAAGGCCACTGGTGATCTTAACGCAAGCTGACATTTCATTAATGCCATATTTCAGAGGCTGGGAACGAGCTGGCTCTCCAGCGAAGCCCTCAGTTTACATTTAAATAAGCATGGGCCCTATTGCAATGCGGGGCATGGATTTCCTTTTCTACCCTAGACTATTTCAGCCATGGCCATTTCCATTTTGTTCTCAGTGATCATTGTAGGCAGGTGGACCTCTCTGCAGTGCTACGTAGATGGCCAGAAAGGTTACGGCATCTTTTACGTTTTAAGAATTAAAGCCACAAGGGAAAGCAACGTCTGTTAATATTGCAAGAAGGCTACCCTGCCTCTCCATCAAACAGGCAATTAATGAGATATGGACCTTAGATGGCCCAGGTCAGATAACGATACAGTTCACTGTATCTTTTGTCCATTAAAGTGAAAAGATATTACAAACTTTCCACTGCTTAATACTGAAAAACTATTTTTGTCGTAAGAGATCACAGTTTTTATTTGTGAACCAAGAACAGAAAGTGGGTTAAGCTATGTGTTCACCAATTTATAAATGAAGGAGATGCTAGCACAACCACCAGAGCTAAACTTGAAAACATGATGGGCACTACAAGATGGTAAGAGCAGGAAAGAAAAATCTGTGTGTTCTAGATTGGACATCAATGGTTTATCTTCCAAATGGTTTTGCAGAGTGTTAGAAAGTAATTGACAATAACATATTCATATGTCAGAGATATTGTGGATTTTGTTTTAGACCACTGCTTAGAGCAAATATCTCAAGAAAGTGAGCCACATGAATTTTTGGTTTTCCAGTGCATATAAAAATTATGTTTACACTATAATGTCATCTATTAAGTATACAATAGCATTATGTCTAAAAAACAATGTACATACCTTAATTTAAAAATGCTTTATTGCTAAAAAATGCTAATAATCATCTGAACTGTCAGCAAGTCATAATTCTTTTGCTGCTGGAGGGTCTTGCTTGTTGATGGCTGATGAATGATCAAGATGGTAGTTGCTGAAGGTTGGGATGGCTATGGCAATTTCTTAAAAGAAGACAAGTGAGCTCTGCCACATCAACTGGCTCTTCTTTTCATGGAAAATTTCTCTGTGGCATGTGATGCTGTTTGATAACATTTTCCCCACAAAAGGACTTGCAAAATTGTCATCTATCCCCTCAAACCCTGACACTGCTTTATCAATTAAATTTATGTAATATTCTAAATCCTTCGTTACCATTTTAACACTGTTTACAGCATCTTTACCAGTAGATTCCATCTCAAGAAACCACTGTCTTTGCTCATTCATAAGAAGCAACTCCTTGTGCATTCAACCTTTATCAGGAGAATCAGCAACTCAGTCACATCTTCAGGCTCCACTTCTAATCCTAGTTCTCTTGCTATTTCTACTACATTTGCAGTTACTTTCTTCACTGATGTTGTGAGCCCCTCAAAATCATACATGAGGATTGGGGGCAACTTTTTCCAAAGTCCTGTTAATGTTGATATTTTGACTTCCTCCCATGAATCATGAGTTTTCTTCATGGAATCTAGAATGATGAATCCTTTCCAGAAGGTTTTCAATTTACTTTGCCCAAATCTATCAGAGGAATCAGTATCTGTGGCAGATACCCTTATAAAATTCATCTTTAAAAAATAAGATCTGAAGGTTGAAATGACTCCTTGATACATGGGCTGTAGAACAGATATTGTGTTAGGAGGTATGAAAACACTATTAATTTTCTTGTATATCTCCATTGTAGCTCTTGGGTAAATGTACATTGTGAATTAGCAGTAATATTTTGAAAGATATCTTTTTTCTGAGTTCTGGGTCTTAACAGTGGGCTTAAAATATTCAATAATCCATGCCATAAAAAGATGTACTGTCATCCAGACTTTTGTTTCATTTATAGAGCACAGGCAGAGTAGATTTAGCATAATTCTGAAGGGCTTTCAAGTTTTCAAATGGAAAATGAACACTGGCTTTAATTTAAAGTCACCAGCTGCATTAGCCTCTAACAAGAAAGTCAGCCTGTCCTTTGAAGTTTTAATGCCAGGCGTTGACTTCTCCTCTGTAGCTATGAAAGTCCTAGATGCCATCTTCTTCCAAAAGAAGGCTGTTTTGTCTTCATCAAAAATCTGTTTAGTATAGCACATTCATCAATGATCTTAGCTATGTCTTCTGAATAACTTGCCGCAGCTTCTCCATCCAGCACTTGCTGCTTCACATAGTGCTTTTATGCTTTGGAGATGGCTTGTTTACTTAAACCTCATGAACCAAACTCTGCTAGCTTCAGACTTTTCTTCTGCAGCTCTCTCACCTCTTTTAGCCTTCATGGAATTGAAAAGAGTTAGGGTCATCTTCTGGATTAGGCTTTGGCTTAAGGAGATGCTGGGGCTGGTTTGATCTTCTAACCGGACCACTCAATATCAGCAATAAGACTATTTTGCTTTCTTATCATTTACATGTGGAGTGCACTTTTAATTTCCTTCAACAAGTATCCTTTTGCCTTAACAACTTGGTTAGCTGTTTAGAGCAAGAGTCTTAGCTATTTCGGCCTTTCTTGGCTTTCAACATGCCTTCCTCACTAAGCTTAATCATTTGGAGCTTTGATTTAAAGTAAAAGACATGCAAGTCTTCTTCTCACTTGAACACTTAGAGGCCACTGTGGTGTTATTAATTGGACCAATTTCAATATTGATGTGACTCAGGGAGTAGGAATGCTTGAGGAGAGGGAGAGAGATGGAGGAACAGCTGGTAGGTGGACCAGTCGGAATACACACAACATTTATTGATCAAATTGTGGTCTTATACAGGCACAGTTTGTCATTCCTCAAAATGATTACAATAGTAACATCAAAGATCACTGATCACAGATTACCATAACAGATGTAATAATAATGAAAAGTTTGAAATAATGCAAGTATTACCAAAAAGTGACACATAGACACAAAGGGGACACATGCTGTTGGCAAAAATGTTGCTGAAAGACTTGCTTGATACAGGGTTGCCACAAATCTTCAATTTGTAAAAAATGTAATAAATGCAATAAAGTGAAGGGCAATAAAATGAGATATTCCTGTACCTCTTTAAACTATTCATTTAACCATTCATTTAAAAGCCCATATGACTTTAGACCATTCATTTAACCCCTCTGAGCAGCAGTTTCTCCTTCTTGAGATACTTTGATAATCTTCTTTATATATTTCAAAGGCCAGTTGAAATTATTAATTTCCTTGAATTTACAAAATGCTTGAGACAGAACAGATCTGAAGAGTAGAAAATAGACTATATTTTTAAATGCTTTAAAAACAAATAATAGGTAAATAACGGCAGGTGTTTTCACCATGGGAAGGACTTTGTTTATCAGTTAGTTGCATTAAGTGTTCCAACTCAAGTGTCACATATACCATTTGATGGCAATGCACGCTAGGTGAACACATAGAAGAAAATTGAACTATAGATTACTAAATAAGATCTTTTTATTTTTAACTAAACAACTAGGTATATTTTTATGCAAGTGATATTTATCTTTACAAATAAGCCATTTCTTTAAGAAGGTTTTATCCTACAGACAATTGTTGACATTTTTTGAAAATTTATAAAACACTTTACCATAGTTGCGTAGTTACATAGCTCTACTGGGTCAATAAGCTTCTAGGTTATGTCCTCCCTTCAAGCTTCATTTAAACCAGAAAGTACAGTACAGAAATATAGTGCCAGGCTTAGAGCAATGTAATCACTTCTGTGTGTGGTTTATTGAGCACATGCTATGAACTAAGCATTGGGCTAATTTGGAGAGACCAAAAAATGAAAATGTAATAAGATAGTTTCATGTTCTTAAAGTGTCCAGAGTCCAGTTGGAGATAAGACTGGACTACATATATAATATTATGTGATATAATATAAGCCAAAATGAAGAATATACATAGTTATGAAAGTGTAGCTTTCATAATAGGGGTATAAAATGGTGAAACAAGAATACCCCCAGTACACCATAAATAAGGGGGGTGTCTATTAGTGTCCCCCAAGAAGAGGTTGCCTGTATTTCTACTGAATGGCAGATCTGAATTTTAGAAGATATTTCATTTCCTCTCTGTTTTATTAAGGTGTAATTGTCAAAAGTTGTACTTATTTACAGTGTACAGTGTGATGATTTGATGTATGTATACATTGTGAAATGACCAACTCATAGTCACCATGCTATACAATACATTCCGAGAACTCCTGTCTAATTAAAACTTTGTAACCTTTGATCAACATTTCCCCCATGTAACCCATGTTAGTATAAAAACAGGTAAAATAAGTAGAGTCCTATATTGGCACTTAGCCATAAAAATATGATATTTCCTTCGCCCACTTTTTGATGGGGTTGTTTGTTTTTTTCTTGTAAATTTGTTTGAGTTCATTGTAGATTCTGGATATTAGCCCTTTGTCACATGAGTAGGTTGCGAAAATTTTCTCCCATTTTGTAGGTTGCCTGTTCACTCTGATGGTAGTTTCTTTTGCTGTGCCGAAGCTCTTTAGTTTAATTAGATCCCATTTGTCAATTTTGGCTTTTGTTGCCATTGCTTTGACACTTCTCAAAAGAAGACATTCATGCAGCCAAAAAACACATGAAAAAATGCTCATCATCACTGGCCATCAGAGAAATGCAAATCAAAACCACAATGAGATACCATCTCACACCAGTTAGAATGGCATTCATTAAAAAGTCAGGAAACAACAGGTGCTGGAGAGGATGTGGAGAAATAGGAACACTTTTACACTGTTGGTGGGACTGTAAACTAGTTCAACCATTGTGGAAGTCAGTGTGGCGAATCCTCAGGGATCTAGAACTAGAAATACCATTTGACCCAGCAATCCCATTACTGGGTATATACCCAAAGGACTATAAATCATGCTGCTATAAAGACACATGCACACGTATGTTTATTGCGGCACTATTCACAATAGCAAAGACTTGGAACCAACCCAAATGTCCAACAATGATAGATTGGATTAAGAAAATGTGGCACATATACACCATGGAATACTATGCAGCCATAAAAAATGAAGAGTTCATGTCCTTTGTAGGGACATGGATGAAACTGGAAACCATCATTCTCAGCAAACTATCCCAAGGACAAAAAACCAAACACTGCATGTTCTCACTCATAGGTAGGAATTGAACAATGAGAACACATGGACACAGGAAGGGGAACATCACACTCCGCGGACTGTTGTGGGGTGGGGGAGGGGGGAGGGATAGCGTTAGGAGATATACCTAATGCTAAATGACGAGTTAATGGGTGCAGCATGCCAGCATGGCACATGTATACATATGTAACAAACTTGCACATTGTGCACATATACCCTAGAACTTAAAGTATAATAATAATAAAAAAAATATGACATTTCTCCCTTTGAAAAAGAGAAGCTAAGGCCATACAGATACATTTAGGGCGCAGAAAGTGAAAATGGTTGGTTGGAAATGTACAGTGGCTCAGTAGGACACTGAAAATGTAGACAAGGAATTTAGCCATACAGGAAAAGGGGATAATGTGTGTGTGTCGGGGCCGGGGCGGGGGGGGGGAGGCAGGGGACAGGGGACAGAGGGCAGGGGGCCATGGGGAGGGTGGATTATAGATAATGAAACAGCATGAGCAAAGCACGGAATTGGGAGCAGGTGTGGTGTGGATCTACATGGGCCCAGAGCTCTTACCTGAGTGGCTAGGGGAACATCTCTTAGTTGGTCAACATGTACATTATCCTTACTGACCTGGCAATAAAAGTGATAGTACATTGGAAAAGAAGGAAGAACTTGGAGCCAGATGACATGACATCACATCTTACCATCTTACTAGTAGTAGAACCCCAGCTGAGTTGCTTAAATCTCACCATGCCTCAATTCTCTCTTGTGTAATAATTGAAGATCATAAAAATACTTCCCTTACAGGGTCATTCTGAGGAATACGAGTTGGTCAATGTGAAGTATTTTTTGGTTATTTTTTTGAGATGGGGTCTCGCTCTGTTGCCCAGGCTGGAGTGCAGTGGTGTGATCTCGGCTCACTGCAAGCTCCGCCTCCCGGGTTCATGCCATTCTCCTGCCTCAGCCTCCCAAGTAGCTGGGACTACAGGCGCCCACCACCACGCCTGGCTAGTTTTTTGTATTTTTAGTAGAGACGGGGTTTCACCGTATTAGCCAGGATGGTCTTGATCTCCTGACCTCGTGATCCACCCGCCTCAGCCTCCCAAAGTGCTGGGATTACAGGAGTGAGCCACTGCGCCCAGGCAATGTGAAGTCTTTATAACAGTGCTTGATGTTGGAAGTGGCAATCCACCATTCTCTCTGAGCATCCCTGTACGTTCCTGCTAGAAATAAGAATGAAAGGCTCTGATTGCTCTTTATCCAGGGCATTTTCAGGGTTGTGTTTATAGCCAGCAACTTTAAGAGATGAGGTAATATCTCCTAAGACAAAGAGCACACTTGGTTACTGACTGCTATAAAATTGTAGATTCCTCAGGCCCAGTGCTTCTCTCCTCCAATGTAACCAACTGCACGTGCAGACACCCATCTAGGCTCATACTGCATCACCCCTGTGGGTCTTGGGCAGATAGGGGTGGGAAGTAGAACTGATGGAAACATGGTGCTGAAGTAAACATGGAGGTGCTGATATCCCTTCCACATACTGATTTCATTTCCTTTGACTACATACCTAGAAGTGAGATTGCTGAATCATATGATCTATTTCTAATATTTTCAGGAAGCTCAATATCATTTTCAGTGATAGCTGTACTAACTTACACTCTCACCAACAGTGCGCAAGAATTCTCTTTTCTTCACATTCTCACCAGCATTTGTTATATTTTGTCTTTTTTATAATAGCCATTCTAACAGGTGTGAGGTGATATCTCATTTTGACTTTAGTTTGCATTTCCCTGATGGTTAGCAATATTGAACAGTTTTTTCATACACACATTTGGTCATTTGTATGTCTTTTTTTTAAGAAGTGTCAATTTAGGTCCTTTGCACATTTTTAAATCTGGTTATTAGTGGGTTCTTTTGTTATTAAGCTGAGTTCCTTATATATTTTAGATATTAACCCCTTACTGGATATATGATTTCCAAATATTTTCTTCCATTCCATAGGTTGTCTCTTCACTGTCAATTGTTTTCATTGGTGTGCAGAAGCTTTTTCATTTGATGCAACCCCATTTGTCTATTTTTACTTTTGTCGCCAGTGCTTTTGGGGTCATATCAAAAAAATCATTACCCAGACCAATATCATGGAGGCTTTCTCTTATGTTTGGTTCTAGTTGTTTTATAATTTCAGGTCTGACATGCACATCTTTAATCCATTTTGAGTTGATTTTTTTATATATGGGGTGAGATGAGGGTTTAATTTCATTCTTCAGCATGAAAATATCCAGTTTCTCCAACACCATTTATTAAAGAGACTCTTCTTTCCCTACTATGTGTTCTTGGCACCTTTGTTGAAAATCAATTGATCATAATAAATGTGTGGGTTTATTTCTGGGCTCTCTGTTTTGTTACATTGGTCTATGTGTCAGTCTCTATGCCAGTACCACTCTGTTTTGATTACCATGGCATTGTAGTATGTTTTAAAGTGAGGTAAGGTTTTGTCTCTTCTAACACAGGGATAGGATAGTAAAAACTTACCTATGATATATT
Source organism: Homo sapiens (assembly GCF_000001405.40). NCBI lineage: Eukaryota > Metazoa > Chordata > Mammalia > Primates > Hominidae > Homo > Homo sapiens. The sequence continues at coordinate 78,926,696 of NC_000013.11, read as the reverse complement.
ATCTTTTGGTTTGGTTAAAAAAGATTACTGAGAAAGACAAATCTCTAACCAGAGGCTAATGAAGAATTGTTGGGAGTATAGAAAAATGAAATAATATTAATCACACATTTCAGAAAAACACCAAAGCTCAAACTACCTTGGACATTTCCCTAGGGGTGTTGGGATAAGATGCAGGGTCTGCAGTGAAGAACAATACAGCAAGGAAGAAGGATTATGATAAAGTGAAATGAAGTCTGAAGACGAAGAGATGACTTACACTCCTGTATCCCTCAAACAATAAGGAGGAAGAAAGCACAGCCTCTCTCATCTTCTCCATTCTAACTATTCTTCCCTTTCCTTATTCGCTGCCATTGCATTTTCATAAGGTCTGTGAGGATAGAATTGGAACCAAATACGGCAAGATGTGAGTAAGGTGAAGGGGGAGGTGAGGGCACATGGCAGGCAGTAAGAGGGCAGGAAGGTAATCAGTACATCTTCAGTCTCTGATATGCACAAGAATTGGGACAACCTGCTTCTTAAATAAAACCTCCAATGAGATAAAGTCAAGGAGGGGAGGAGATTTACTAATCAAACATTATTGTCTTTAGATAGTTGAAAAGTATGTCCACATCTTTTTCAGAGGTACATTCTCAAAGGGTATCCAAGGTTTAAATTTTAGTCTCATTACTGAGACCATAGCTTGGCCTAACAGAAAGAGCAGTGCACTGGGGTCAGAAGACCTGAGGGGTTTTCTTGCCTCTGTCACCTCTTTGTCCAGTGACCTTAGGCAATATGCTTAGCTTGAGTTTCCTTTCTCTAAAAGGAAGATAGCACTATCTCACTCACAGGGTCCGGAGAGCATGAGCCAAGATAATGTATGCAAAGTGCCTGGAGATTGTAAATTGTGAAGCATTATCATAGTGAGAAAAAAACAATTCAAAAAATTAACTTTAAGAGCAAAATCCTTATAGTTTCCATAAGTGTGTAAGAATATAATCCTGTGCTAGCTATTCTGAGATCAAGAAGTTTGAAAACATGAAATCGTTTGTCTTTAATCCATCTTGAATTAATTTTTGTATAAGGTGTAAGAAAGTTATCCAGTTTCAGCTTTCTACATATGGCTAGCCAGTTTTCCCAGCACCATTTATTAAATAGGGAATCCTTTCCCCATTGCTTGTTTTTCTCAGGTTTGTCAAATATCAGATAGTTGTAGATATGCGGCGTTATTTCTGAGGGCTCTGTTCTGTTCCATTGATCTATATCTCTGTTTTGGTACCAGTACCATGCTGTTTTGGTTACTGTAGCCTGTAGTATAGTTTGAAGTCAGGTAGCATGATGCCTCCAGCTTTGTTCTTTTGGCTTAGGATTGACTTGGTGATGCGGGCTCTTTTTTGGTTCCATATGAACTTTAAAGCAGTTTTTTCCAATTCTGTGAAGAAAGTCATTGGTAGCTTGATGGGGATGGCATTGAATCTATAAATTACCTTGGGCAGTATGGCCATTTTCACGATATTGATTCTTCCTACCCATAAGCATAGAATGTTCTTCCATTTCTTTGTATCCTCTTTTATTTCATTGAGCAGTGGTTTGTAGTTCTCCTTGAAGAGGTCCTTCACGTCCCTTGTAATTTTGATTCCTAGGTATTTTATTCTCTTTGAAGCAATTGTGAATGGGAGTTCACTCATGATTTGGCTCTCTGTTTCTCTGTTATTGGTGTATAAGAATGCTTGTGATTTTTGTACATTGATTTTATATCCTGAGACTTTGCAACTTAACCATGAAAACCTAGGCATTACCATTCAGGACATAGGCATGGGCAAGGACTTCATGTCTAAAACACCAAAAGCAATGGCAACAAAAGCCAAAATTGGCAAATGGGATCTAATTAAACTAAAGAGCTTCTGCACAGCAAAAGAAAGTACCATCAGAGTGAACAGGCAACCTACAAAATGGGAGAAAATTTTCACAACCTACTCATCTGACAAAGGGCTAATATCCAGAATCTACAATGAACTCAAATTTACAAGAAAAAAAGAAACAACCCCATCAAAAAGTGGGCAAAGGACATGAACAGACACTTCTCAAAAGAAGACATTTGTGCAGCCAAAAAACACATGAAAAAATGCTTACCATCACTGGCCATCAGAGAAATGCAAATCAAAACCACAATGAGATACCATCTCACACCAGTTAGAATGGCATTCATTAAAAAGTCAGGAAACAACAAGTGCTGGAGAGGATGTGGAGAAATAGGAACACTTTTACACTGTTGGTGGGACTGTAAACTAATTCAACCATTGTGGAAGTCAGTGTGGCGATTCCTCAGGGATCTAGAACTAGAAATACCATTTGACCCAGCAATCCCATTACTGGGTATATACCCAAAGGATTATAATCATGCTGCTATAAAGACACATGCACACGTATGTTTATTGCGGCACTATTCACAATAGCAAAGACTTGGAACCAAGCCAAATGTCCAACAATGATAGACTGGATTAAGAAAATGTGGCACATATACACCATGGAATACTATGCAGCCATAAAAAATGAAGAGTTCATGTCCTTTGTAGGGACATGGATGAAATAGGAAATCATCATTCTCAGTAAACTATCGCAAGGACAAAAAACCAAACACTGCATGTTCTCACTCATAGGTAGGAATTGAACAATGAGAACACACGGACACAGGAAGGGGAACATCACACTCTGAGGACTGTTGTGGGGTGCGGGAGGGGGGAGGGATAGCATTAGGAGATATACCTAATGCTAAATGATGAGTTAATGGGTGCAGCACACCAGCATGGCACATGTATACATATGTAACTAACCTGCACATTGTGCACATGTACCCTAAAACTTAGTGTTATAATAATAAAAATAAAATAAAAAAAGAAAACTTGAAATCATTCATAGTCTGAACCAAAGATCCCAAGCCAAATGACAGTATGTGCTTACACAGACATGTTTAAATGGCATAAACACAAATATTTTGAGATTATGCATGTTTTTAACACAACTAGAGCATACAGCCTGAGTTAAATTTCTCTCACAAAAATTGTCTTTAAACAAAATGCATTATTAGAATTAGAGACCACTAAAATACTATCCCTTTGGACTATTTTATTGGGGACTATCAATATTTTTAATACCTGAAGAATTATAGAAGGAAGTCAAAGCAATGCCTCATTCTTCAATCCACCCCCTCTGCTTGTAGCAAGGGCAGGTGGGAGCTGTCTGTACTTCCATGTGTATGCTCATAGTTTATTGGCAAATAGAGATTCTGACAACCTGAAATATTTTCCATAAAAACTTAAATTAGACTAAAAAAAAGCCTAAAATGGTTAAAAACTATTCACCTCCTGAAATAAGATTGCCAGATCAAATACAGGACACCTAGTTAAATTATAATGTGAGATAAACAGCAAATAATTGCAATAATTTAGTACTTGCTTATACTAGAATAGTATTTATTGGTTTTCTGACATTTGAACTTAAATGACATCCTATATTTTGATTTGCTCAATCTGGCAGCCCTGCCTGGAGAGATGAGCTGCCCCATGATCCTGTATCACAGTCATCTCACCATACTCAATTAACTTCATGAAGCAAACAGCCCTGTCCCTCATGGCCTTTGTGGAACTTGATATTTCTCCCAATCCTCTCTGACATTGCAAAAGGGGAGGTCACATATACAGTCACTAGAACCTGTGCCTGCAAAAGTAGATATATGTTAAATCACACATCTGTATTAAAGCAAACTAAATATGGCCTGAGAAGGATTCCGTACTTCTGTATGTCCTTGTGGATAAACTGTAACCTAACTTAATAGGTAGACAAGATTGAAAACCTAACTTAGAGGAGTGTGCGCCTGTAACAATAGCTGAGTCTTGGCCAATCCCAGCAGCCATACTTCAACCACTCATACACTGTTGAGGTTCAAACTGTGTTCAAATAAGGCAAATGTGGAGCTGTAACCAATCTAGCTGTTTCCGTACCTCACTTTCGATTCTGTATATCACTTTACTTTTATTGCCCATAAATTTGTTCTGACCCCTGGACTCTCTCTGAATCTGCTATGATTCTGGTGGCTGCCCAATTCACGAATCATTCATTGCTCAATTAAACTCCCTTAAATTAAATTTGGCTGAAGTCTTTCAACACCTGTCTAAAATTGTTTGGAATTCTCCAACCACATTCCTATTTCCATTGACGAGGCCTGGAAATCAGCATCCAGGTGCTTCGGAAGAACCAAAATACAACTACTCTTTCTGTAAGAGATTAAACTGAAACTCCTGGAAGCTCAAGATTCTACTTCTATCTCATATGAGTGATTGCAGTAATGATGACTGTTTACATTGTTTCATTTTGACATTTCTTTGATTTTTTTAAAAGCAATGCCACCACTATGGAGAGAACTGGAATCTAATTATTTCCACATAGATTAGCGTTCTCACAACTCTGTCTCAGACAGGTCATGAGATGGTGGTCTCAGATCAGCTTCTTGTTGTTTACATTATTAAAAAATAGAGAAAGGGTACTATTCTGAATAATTAGCAGCCTTAATTAAAAACTAGAATAAGATATCAGGTGTAGTAGTGGCTTGATAAACTCCTTTGGGCTAGCTCAGACTCTATCGCCTTCTGATTAGAATTGTATGAATCTGGAAATATCTACCTACATTATCTCTATTGGGACATGATGCTGTCAGGCTTAGTAGTCAATTCAGGCCTGGTAATCATTTTCAAGAAGGTAAGAAGGTCTAGTGGTGATGAGGACAATGTCAAAGTATAGTAAACATGATGCATGATTTCTAGTTTTGTATAATGAATGAGTATTCAAAATTACTGTTAAAACTTTAATGGGGATTTCCAGGCTCCTTAACATGTATGTAAGATCGAATATCCTTAAGGATCACCAAGAAACTGGCAATTCTCACAGCCGTCACATCTGAAAATTTTCACTGGAAGATGCATTATAAGTTTAGTTTTTTACAATCAAATGAAGGTAATTCATTCAGCTTTTGTTTAATTGCCACCTAAAATGTATGAAATGAGAGAGGCACTTTACTGTTGCACAAGAAAGAGTTCATATTGTCCCTTTTTGACTGTTCTTTCAGGTAAGACAACTAAAATTGTCCAACTTTTTGACAATTGCAATGAAATTATACAAAATGAAATTTACGTTGATTGAAGAAGTATTCTTCTCATGACTATGAAGTCACACCTACATATTTTCCTGCAAGTTGTCCATAGGCAATAGGAAATGATATCCTAATTTTTTGTACAGGATTATTTTTACAGTTTTGTAGGGTCGCCCATAAGTTGAATGGATGCTTCTATCTCATGAATTACTTAGGAGCATTAACTTTCAGAAAGGTTTTGAGGTGCTTATAATAAAATCACAGGAATAAAAACTTAGTGAAGACACAAATAGGAATTAAATAAGGTAGTGGGTTTGTGGAAAAGGAAAGGGTGGGGGCAATCAGGAGAATGATAAAGAGACCACGTGGAAAATCAGTAGTGTGTTGAATTCAACTCTCACTTGCTAGCAACTGGAAGAGAAAAGAAAGCAAACAGGTTATTGAGTTCTCATTGCCAAAGGTGGTGCAATTACAGCTCACTGCAACCTCAAACTTTTGGGCCCAAGTGACCCTCCCACCTTAGCCACCTTAGGATCACAGGTGTACATCACCATGTCCAGCTAATTTATTTTTATTTTTTTGGAGACATGGGATCTTGCTACGTTAACCAGGCTGGTCTTAAACTCCTGGTCACAAGCAGTTTTCCTGCGTTGGCCTCCCTAAGTGCAGAAATTACAGGGTTAAGCTGGTATGCCCCACCCATTAAGGGTGTCTTTGTGCATGAACTGGAGGGGGTCATGGTGTTTTCAAGCTGCTTTCAACACTGGCTGAGAAGTAAGAGACCTCACAGGCCACACATGCTCTGCATTTATTTTCTTTCTAAGCCTAAGTAAGTATTCTTCAAACATGTTAACTGCCACTTATGTTTGAAAAAACCTTTATTATGTGTTACTCTGAGATTTTCTTATTGATTCTATTTTTATGCATTTTTAAAAATTCTGGTCAAATCCCACTAATTTGACTTTTGAGCCTCTAATTAATGGGGACTCACAGTTTGAGAAACATTGTGCTAATAGATACAGCATTTTCCTAAAATATAGAAAAATGCTAAAATGTAATATATTTTGTATTCATATTCAAATATGTGTGTGATATATCAAAGTCAGTATATATCCACAAACATATGTCCTATCAAAATGTGTATATAAACTTTTATAAATGCAGTAATAACTTCCTAAGCTCATGAGAAATCTTGAAGTATGTTTAAATATTTTTTAATCATACAGTTGAACCATGGAATACTACACAGCCATAAAAGGCATGCCCTTATGTCCTTTGCAGCAACATGAATGGAGCTGGAGGCCATTATCCTGAGAAAACTAATGCAGGAACAGAAAACCAAATACTACATGTTCTCACTTATAAGTGGGAGCTAAACATTAAGTACACATGGGCACAAATGAAAGAACGATAGGCACTGGGGTCTAACTGAGAGTAGAAGTTGGGAAGAGGGTGAGGATCAAACTATCTGTTGGGTACTATGGTTATTATCAGGGTGACAAAATAATCTGTATACCAACCCCCCATGACATGCAATGTAACCATATAACAAACCTGCACATGTACTTCAAACCTACAATAAAAGCTAAAAATAGTAATAATAATCACACAGTTGAGTTAAATCATATTAAATATTAAAGTGGCAGTATGTATTTTTATTCATTTCGAAGAGTTTAGCTCATCTCCTAACAAAGATATTTTAACTAACCTAAATAAATAACTGTATCAGTCAGTTCTTATGCTGCTAATAGAGACATACTGGAGACCGGGTAATTTATTTATAAAACAGGTATAATAGACTCAAAGTTCCACATGGCTAGGGAGGCCTCACAATCATGGCAGAAGGCAAAGGGGGAGAAAGGCATGACTTACATGGCAGTAGGCAAGAGAGTGTGTGCAGAAGAACTGCCTTTATAAAACCATCAGATCTTGTGAGACTTATTCACTGTTATGACAACAGCACGGGAAAGACCTGCTCCCATGATTCAATTACCTCCCTCCAGGTCCCTCCCACAAAATGTGGTAATTATGGGAGCAACAATTCAAGATGAGATTTGGGTGGGGACACAGCCAAACCATATCAATAACCTAGCTGACCCTTATGAATTCTTATTATCTAAGTTTTCCTATAACTTATTCTGATAGGCTTTCCTCAGTGCTCAGGCAGTCTGAGTTGTCAGGCATATGGTTAAGTCATTTATAAGTGTCTGCATATCAGTCTAGCACATTATTTTATTCAGATATGATTTAGATGCTATATGATCATTTACTTAAGTTTTTTATTATTTATTTATTTTTCCAAATCACAGGTATTTTAAACTAAAATCATCCAGTTAGATCTCTCTTCTTATCTGCATACTACTCACTGATTTCATTTTTCTCACTCTTGGTAACAATAAAAGAATGTCAAATCTTTTAGGTCAAACTGTTAGCCATTCCTCTCATCCAGTAATGTCAATTTTTCTCTCTGTTTTCATTCATTATAATTGAAACAGCACTGTTCACCAGGCATGCTCCAGGGGAGATTGGTCTGGCATGCCAGGAAAGGCCTCCAGAAGCAGCAATACTTGAACTGAGATGGGTAGCAATTAGCCTGATAGAGGAGCGTGGAAGGGCATTCCTAGAAGAGTGAAACATGCAACAAAAAGGTCAAAGTCATTGGGAGTAGCTAAAGCAAGAGTTCAGGCTGCAGGACAATGGAAGGTAATACTTCAAGTAAAAACAAGGTCCAGATCAGAAATGTATTATTTATTACATTGGGGTAATGGGGGAGGGGAGAAAGACTTGAAATGTTTCCAAGCAGAGGAGTGACATGATTAAAAATTCATTTTAAAAGGATTGCTTTGACAAAGATGTAGAGAATGAATGGATTGAAGGGGGTTGACACATGAGGTAAAGAGTTCAGTTAAGGGGCCATGGCAGTAATCTGGAGAAGAAATGATAAAGACTAGATTAAGAATATGGTAAAAATTAAAGAGGAGCGAACACTTCCAAACTAATTTTATGAGTCCAGCATTAACTGGATCCCAAAGCCGGACAAGGATGCTACAAGAAAAGAAAATTACACAACAACATCTCTGATGAACATAGATATAAAAAGCCTCAAAATAACATTAGCAAACCGAATTCAACAGCACTTTAAAAGGATCGTACACCATGATCAAATACAATTTATCCCTGAGATACAAGGCTTATTCAACATGTGCAAATCTGTAAATGGAATACACATTAACAGGCTGAAGTTATGAAATCATATGAAATCATATGGTCACTCAGTATACGTAAAAAAGGGCATTTTACAAAATTTGACATCCATTCATGTTAAAAAACAAAACCTCTCAGCAAATTGCGTATAGAAAAAAAGTACCTCAATATAATAAAACCATATATGACTAGCCCACAGCTGACATAATGCTCAAAACTGAAAAGCTGAAATACTTAACGTCAGGAGCAAGACAAGGATGCCCACTATCTCCACTTCTACTCAAAATAGTACTGGAGGTCCTAGCCAGAGCAATTAAGTCAAGAGAAAGAAATTGGGTAGGAAGAAGTAAAAATGTCTCTATTTGAAGACAGTATATTTTACATATAAGTATATATATGTATATGTATATAAAAACACACACACATGCATGTGCACACACACGAAACTCTAATGACATTACCAAAACTGTGTTAGAACTAATAAATGAATTCAGTAAAGTCGTAGGACACAAATCAATATACAAAAGTCGTAGGACACAAATCAATATACAAAAGTCAGCAACTTTTCTATGCACTAATAATGAACTACCCAAAAAAGAAACCTAGGAAAAAAAGCCCATTTACAATACCATCAAAAAATAAAATACTTACGAACACATATAACCAAGGAGATGAAAGATTTGTTTTGTACACTGAAAACTATAAAACAATGTCAAAATAAATTGAAGAATATTGTTAAAATGCCCATACTACTCAAAGCAGTCTACAAATTCAATGCAATCTCTATCAAAATTTCAATGGCATGTTTCACAGAAATAGCAGTAAGTAAGAGATAAGTATAAATGTTAAAGTATGTAAGGAACCACAAAAGACTACAAATAACCCAAGCAATCTTGAGTAAAAAAAAAAACGAAGCTGGAGGCATCACATTTACTGATTCCAAATCTACTGCAAAAGCTATAATAATGAAAACAGCATGTTGCTATCATAAAAATAGATGCAAGGCCAATGGAACAGAATAGAGAGCCCATAAATTAATTTACACATTTACAGTAAATCTATCTTTGGCAAAGAGGCCAAGAACACACAGTAGGATAAGGAAAATCTCTTCAATAAATGATGTTGGGAAAACTGGACATTCACATACAAGAGAGTAAAATTGGATTTGTGCCTCATACTATATACAAATATCTATTCAAAATTGACTAAAGATGTGAATGTAAAGCCTGGAGCTGTCACTACCTTAAAACAAAGAAAAAGATTTGACATTGGTCTGTGCAATGAAATTTTGGCTATCACCCCAAAAGCACAGACAACAAAAGTGAAAATATACAAATGGGATTGCATCAAACTAAAAAGCTTCTGCACAGTTAAGGAAACAATCAACAGTGAGGAGACAACCTATATAATGGGAAAAAGTATTTGCCAACCATATATCTGATAAGAGATTCATATCTAAAATAAATAAGAAATTCAAACAACTCAATAGCAAGAAAACAGTAACTTAGTTGTAAAATGGGCAAAGGACCTGAATGGACATATCTTTAAAGAAGACTTCTGTGATTTGAGTGTTTTTTGTTCTCTCCAAAATTCCAGCTGAAGCTTAATTCTCAATGCAACACTATGAAGAGGTGGCCTTTGGGAGGTGATTAAATAATGAAAGTGGTGCCCTCATAAATGGAATTAACATCCTTATAAAAGAGATCAAAGTTGAAGGAAGCACTGTGTTGCTCTTCTGTCCTTTCTGCTATATGACGACACAGCATTTGTTCCCTCCAGAGGATGCGGCAACAAGCCGCCATCTTGAAAGTGGAAACTGAGCCCTCACCAGACATGCAACTTGCTGGTCACTTGAAAGTCCCAGTCTCTAGTACTGTGAGAAATAAATTAATGTTATTTATAAATTGCCCAGTCAATGGCATTTTGTTATGGCAGCACAAATGAACTAAAACAAAGACATACAAATCCTACAAATTTTTCGTACAAATACAGTCATGTGTTACCGACTGAGACACTATTCCAAGATATGCACCCTTAGGTGATTTCATTGTTGTGTGAACATCATGGAGTGTATTTACAGAAACCTGGATGGCACAGCCTACTGCACACCTTGGCTGTATGGTATAGCCCATTGCTCCTAGGCTACAAACTTGTACAGCATGCTACTCTGCTGAATATTGTAGGCAATTGTAACACAATGGTAGGTATTTAATGTAACACGATGAAATATTTTACTGTACCTTTTCCGTGTTTAGATGTGTTTAGATATCCCATGTTTAGATATCTAAACATATCTAAACACGGAAAAGGTACAGTAAAAATATGGCATAAAATATTTTTTAAAAGGTAAGCTGTATAGGGCACCTACCATGAATAGATCTGGGTGAGTCAGTGAGTGGTGAGTGAATGTGAATGCCTAGGACATTAATGTGAATTATTGTAGACTGTACACTTAGGATACACAAATTTGTTAAAAAATTGTTATCAATAATACATTAACCTTATTTACTGTAACTTTTTATGTTATAAACTTTTTAAGTTTTTAAGCCTTTTTATTCTCTTGTAATAATACACAGCTTAAAACACAAACACATTACATAGTTGTACAAAAATATTTTCTTCATATTTTTGTTCTATAAGCTTTTTTTCCTGTTTTTGTTTTCTTTTTTACATTTACAATTTTTTTTGTTAAAAATGAAGGCACAACACACACATTAGCCTAGGCCTACACAAGGTCAGGATCATCAATATCAGTGTCTTTCACCTCCACATCTTGTCCCATTGGAAGTTCCTCAAGGGCAATAAGACACATGAAGCTGTCATTTCCTATGATAACAATGCGTTCTTCTGGAATTCCTCCTGAAGTACCTGCCTGGGGCTGTTCTACAGTTTATATATTTATATATGGAAAGAGTACACTCTAAAATAATGGTAAAAATATAGTATAGTAAATACATATACCAGTAACATATTTATTACTATTATCAAGTATGTACTCTACATAATTGTATATGCTGCTTTTTATATAACTGGCATCTCAGTAAATTTGTTTATACCAACATCATCACAGACATGTGAGTAATGTGTTACACTATGACCGATGATGGCTATGGGACACTAAGCAAGAGGGATTTTTCAACTCTGCTGTAATCTCATGGGACCACTGTCGTGCTGTTCATTGTTGAGTGAAATGTCACGTGGCATGTGACATATGAAAAAAATGCTCAACAACGGGAGTCATCAGGAAAATGAAAATTCAAAGCACATCTGTTAGAATGGCTAAATCAAAAAGACAGAAGATCACAAGATCACAAGATCACAAGTGTTGGCAAGGATGTAGAGAAAAGGGAACTCTTGCATACTGTTGGTGGGAATGTAAATTCATACAGCCATTTTGGAAAACACTAAAAAGATTTTTTAAAAATTAAAAATAGAACTACTATATGATCCAGCCATACCCTACAGATTATGTATCCAATGGAAATGAAGTCAGTATGTCAAAGAGATACTTACATTCCCATGTTCATTGCAGTATTATTTACGATAGCCAAGATAAAGAATCAACCTATGTATCTATCAACGGATAAGTGGATAAAAAAATGTGATTATTTAATATATATGCAAACACACACATACATAATACATACGTGTGTGTGTGTGTTTGTGCATATCATATTTTTTGGTCTGTAATATTCTATACACACCCATAATGGAATATTATGGACCCAAAAATGTGATACATATATATATATACACACACATATGTGTACACATATATATAATACATATATGTAAACACATATATTTTTCTATTGTGTGTGAAGCTGAATAAGATTCTTGTGTGTGTGTGTGTGTGTATATATATATATATATACAAAAAAAGAAGGAAATCTGCCATTTTGTGACAACATGGATGAACCTGGAGGACATTATGCTAAGTAAAATAAACCAGGTACAGAAAGACAAATACTGCATGATCTCACTAATGTATGCAATCTGAAAAAATCAATGGTGATTGCCAGGGACCAGATGGAGGGGATGGGGAGCTATTGCTCTAAAAGTACAAAGTTTCAGTGAGACAGGATAAGTTCCAGAGATCTCTTTTACAGCATAGTGACTACAGCTAATATAATGCATTGTATACTTGAAAATTGCTAAGAAAGTAGATCTTAAATGTTCTCATTTCAAACACACAGAAAGGATAACTATATGAAGTGATGGTTATGTTAATTAGCTTGATTATGGATAATCATTTTATAATGAATACAAATATGGTGAACAACATGATGTTTTGATATTTGTCAATTATTCCTCAGTAAGGCTGGAAAAAGCAAAGACTCGGTATGGAAGAACTGAAGGAAAGGGTATAGAGTTGATAAGCTATAATGCAGGTCAAATGTCTGGGCCTCTTAGAGATAAACGTCTGGGTGGGATGGGGCAGAGCTGGAAAAGAAGAACACTAGAATGATTCCTGGCTTCTGGCCTGGACACTGCATAAACAGTGGTGCCTGTGATGCAAGGATAAAGCTGCGCAAGAAAGATAATTGTGGATTTGAAATGTTGAATTTGAATTGTCTGTTGGCCTTCTCCACAGAGAGGTTCAACCAAAGAGCTAACTTTCACTGAGTACTTATTGTGTGCTAGATACTGTGCAAAGCAAGTTACATGCATGAATTTCATCTTCAGAAGACTCATAAGAATATCTACTCTCATCCTCATTTTACATATAAGAAAACTGTGGCTCAGAGTAAAGTTATTTACCTAATGCCACAGATCTGGTATATGGCTGAGAAGGGACTCAAATTCACATATTTCTGATCTTCTACCTGTGTCATAAATCTCTATGCTATATAGAGGCTCTGGAATTGAAGAAGTATCAGTGGTATTTGACATTGTAGTTGTGGGTGAGGTTATCAAATCAAAGTATGTAGTAGAAATAATAAACCCAAGGACACACCTCAAGAAACACCAACATTTAATGCACAGGCTACAAATCAGTGGTCTCCATTTGCCCACAGATACAATTTGGCTAACATCACATTTATTTTTATTTTTATTTTTATTTTTTTAAAGACATGGTCTTGCCTGGAGTGCAGTGGCATGATCATGGCTCACTGCAGCATTGACCTTCCAGGCTCAAGTGATCCTCCTCCCTTAACCTCCCGAGTAGCTGGGACTACAGGCACATACCATTATGCCCAGCTAATTTTTGTATTTCTTGCAGAGACAGGGTTTCGCCATGTTTGCCAGGCTGGTCTTGAACTCCTGGGCTCAATGATCCTCTTGCCTTGGCCTCCCAAAGTTCTGGGATCACAGGCGTGAGCCACTGTGCCTGGCTAACATAGCATTTTTAAAAACTTGAAGGTGAATGGCTTCTGGAAAGGATAAGGAACAATTTGCACTCCCTCACAGTCCCCATCACCTCCTGCTAATTGCCTGCAGGTTTTTTATACCTGTACCTTTCCTGCTGGCCCCCTAGAAGCACTAGAACTGCATTCCCTAAACTGTGGTAGAAAAGATACTCATGTAGGAAAAGAAAAAGTCAATAAAGATAAGGTAAATAAAGAAATGGTAGGAGAATGTGGCTACATTAAAGTTGAAGGAGAGAGTCTCAGAAAAAAGAGGATAGTCAAGCAAATCAAATGTCCCAGGTGGTCAAGCAGGATGAGGGAAGAACAGGATCTCTTGGATGTGGCAATCTGGTGGTCACTTATAATCTTAGTAAAAGATATTGGGGTGGGTAGGGTGATAGTAAAGCCAGATTATAGTGGGTTGTGGAGTGAAAGGGTATTGAGAAGGTGGAAATAAGTGGTTTAGCGTCCTCATTAAGGAAGCATGGCCATTATGGGAAGGAAATAGACAGGCAGGCAGCTAATAGGAGATGTGTGGTCAGATGGAAATTTTTGCTTTTAGAATGGGAAATGTTCAAGTTTGTTTTTATGCTGAGAAAAAATAACCAAAGGGATGATCAGCTGGGAATACGGAAGAGAGGCAATGATGGGTTCGCCAGTGATTTCAGAAGCTATACTAGTACCAGTCATTGCCTTAGGAAACTGAGGACATAGAAGTGAATAATAGACAAGATGTTTGTTTTCTTGGAGATGATACTCTATTGGGTGAAGACAGCCAATAAAATGAAGGAGAATAGGCATTTCAGAGAAATAAAAAGTAATTTCAGAGAGTTATGTGATGAGAATGGAAGGTCTACTTTTTCTTTCTTTCTGTAGAAAGGCTTTATATTGGATGTTCTTTTCAAAGGGTTGACATTTGAGCTGAGACTTGAATGAAAACAAGGAGCTAGCCATGGAAGCTCTGGGGAAGAGCATTCTAGATAGAATGATAACTAGTGTATGCATATAGGGTAGACATGAACTTGGTGTGACTGGGACACAGAAAGAAGCCACAGTGATTCAACAACTACATTGTGGTGGGAGATGAGGTCGGGGGGTGATAGTCAGGGGGTGAGGTCACAGTGCCTTGTAGTCCATCTTAAGAAGTTGAATTTTATTTAAGGTGCAATGGGCGGCCATGTGAGGGCTTGAAGCAGGAGAGTGCTATCAGCTCAAAGGTGAGAGGGGATGGATCTCAATGCAAAGTGAGGGAATGTGCCTTGAACAGGTGTGCTGTTAACTCTTCCACTGAGATGGGGGAAGCAGGAAAGAACAGGTGGAAGGAGAGACTTTTGGAGGTAGTGTAGGAGGTAGTTGAAGAAATTAATACTTAAAGGCTTCAATTTTTGCAGTGAAGCGAGATGCAAGCTTATCTGCTAACAGTGAATGGAGAGATTGTGGAGTAGGAGATTGTATTAGTCTGCTCAGGTGGCTATGACAAAATACCACAAACTAGTTGGCTTCACCAACAAAAATTTTATTTCTTCTTATATCTGCTTCCTGGCTTATCTCTCAAGACAGATGAGCCAGGAGGCAGACATAAGGAAGCCATGGACAATGCACACGCAAAAGGAAGAGAGGAGGACTTCTGAAGGCTAGAAGTCATGATCAAGGTGCCAGCCTATGTGGTTTCTGCTGAGGGGTCTCTGGCAGATGGTTGCTTTCTTGTGTGTCCTCACATGGAAGACAGAGAGAGCTTTGACGTCTCTTCTTCATCTAAGTACTCCAGCCCTATTGGGTTAGGGCCCCACCTTATTACCTCATTTGACATTTATCACCTCCTCACAGGCAGTATCTCCAAATACAGTCCCAGTGGGAGTTAGGGCTTGGGTGGGCATAAACATTCAGTTCATAATAGGGGTTTGTGAAGAAAAGGGAAACTCTGAGGTATTTGTTGAAGAAATGGGAAAGGGAATGGATTAAGAATATGAATACCTTCCATCCTATTGTATTTTCTGTATTAAGGCTAAATTACTAGTATCACTCCATGATTCCAAACCTTATGCGGCAGGGGAATATTTGGGTAAGGACATTAGTATCCTTAATGTGCATTCTCCCATTGACTTAGAAAGCAGGTGGATCCTGGTAGCTTTTTCTTTTCTTTGTTTTTTGCTTAAAGAGATTCCTTTAATATAATGAATATAAAAACGTGACCTCTGCAGAAGATTATAAAGCCCTTCAGAAATATGAAAAGGAGAAATTTTAAGAGATGATTCAACAAATTAAAGAGACAGGTGCTAACCTAGCAATTTGATAGTGTGCCCACAATTAAACAACTTTGAACAAGTGAAACTACGGTTACCAAACAGCAATTTTTATTATAGCATCTACAGGGTCTGAAAAAGGATGTAATAAATAACCGTAGACGCATCACAAGACATCCATTTATTTAATCACAGTAGTGGATCTTACTACATAGTATTCTCATTGTCTTCATTCTTCAGATTCTCCAGTCTTATGAATGTTGTCATTCTTCAAAATCATTCTAACCATTTGTGTTGCAAGAGATATCTGTTGCTTTTTTGCCAATCGAGGTTTCTGTGACACGTTATTGCTTCATATAATTTGTCCCCTTGTGCAAACAGTCGATGCCAAGAGCAAGGTTCATCTCCTTCACTTGGCTGGCTCAGACTTTGGTCATACTCTGGATAGGATTCATGCCACCGTTTTCAGAAAGGGCCTTGGGGATGACCTCCAACGTGTTGGCAAGCGCTCTCATGGCATACTGTTCTAAGGTGGGGCACTTATCCACCTCTTGGCTAACTGGCAGAGCACAGGATATCTCAGCAGCCCCTCCTCCATACACCACATGATTATCACGGATGAGGTTCCAGATGACACACAAAGCACCGTGAAGGGATTGTTTTGCCTCCTCAATAATCATCTTATTTCTTCTTCTCATAAAAATGGTTATAGCTCTGGAGTTCTTACACTGCTCGATGACCAGCATTTTATCCTTAGTTGTCCAAAATGAGATCTCCTGTACAAGACCAGCAAAGCCCAGCTTCCTGGCCATGAGCTCTGAGAACTTGGTGATGATCTGCCCTCCTGTTGTGATGGCAATCAGTTCAATTTCAGGTCCTCCTACCTAGCAAACCGCAGGCAAGTTGTTCTGAAGAAGTAAGTGATTTGCTTCATCATCAAAGCCCCACTGACAAATTTCTAGGTTAGCACCAGTCTCTTTAATTTGTTGAATCATCTCTTAAAATTTCTCCTTTTCATATTTCTGAAGGGCTTTATAATCTTCTACAGAGGTCACATCCAGCTTATGCTTTGCTTTTGGTTTGGGTAGTTCAAATGGACATGTGAGAATTACAATCTTGGCATCTTCCACTTTTTTTGGCATCTGTGGGTGACTGAAATACTTGTCCACAATCACACCCTTAATCCGTTTATTGTCCTCCAGGCTGCCACCCACTTTGCTTTCTACTTTGATAAGCTCAAAGTCAACACCTCTCTGCTCCATATCTGTTAAGGGAGGATGGCATTCACAGCAATCTCAGCCATTTGTCGGTAACAATTGTTGACCACTTTGGAGCCCAGCGTGGTTTTTGCAGTCTGAATCAGGGGTTTGGTGTCTTTTATGTCAACAAGGATGCTGTCACTGATCTTGTCCAGGTGTTCCACAGCAAAGCAGGCAGCCTGCTCATAGCCATCTGCTATTCTGATTGGATGAATACTTCGGTCTGGCAACTCCTGGGCTTCTTCTAACAAGGCACCAGCCAGGACAACCACACCTGTGGTTCCATCTCCAATTTCATCATCCTGAGACTTAGACATTTCCACCATCAAACTGGGCAATCTGATGACTGACATCCATCACGCTTAAGATGGTGACCCCATCATTAGTTACAGTCACATCGCCATCCTTATCCACCACCATCTTATGAAGCCCCTTTGGTCCAAGTGATGTTCTTGTCGCATGTGCTACAGCATTTGCCACCATTATATGAGACTTGAGGGCCTCAAGTCCCATAAGGCGGGACTTGCGGTCCTGATCTTTGATGATAAGGAAAGGGGGCCCATATCAATCAAAGGCGAGGGTCCCCATAGACGCCGTGGTGCAGCAGCAGGAGTTACTTTTCCACTTTTTCTTTATTTGACAGCTGGTAAGGCTGGTTGGCATGACAGCCTGGAGCTAAGTCAGAGCTGAGGTGCTTAGCATAAAAAGAGGACAGATATCCTAGAGAAGCTAGGCAAGACCAATGAGCCAGAAGTGGACATAAGGAGGCCATGGACACTGCACATGCAAAAGGGAGGGAGGGAAGGAGCCCCTGTGACTAGCAGCCAAAGAGGGACCCAGGCAAGAGCCTACATGCCTCTGGATTTGTAAGAGTTTCTTTCTCATATAAACATGTGCTTCCCTCTCCATAAGAAATCTTCAACCAAACTTGTAATGCATATTAATGCTATGTGGAATGACTTTGCTTTTCTTGGAATGAGGAGGCTGGCAAACTGCTTTAAAATCACTGCATGAAGGAAACCAGAGGAAGAGAGCCACATGTTGGAGAAGAATGTCCACAACCTCAACAAGGTAACACACGAAGCCAACAAGGGTGCAAAATTTTAACATCATTCTCACCAGGCCCCAAATGCTTAATTTTGACTCATGTTCCTTTTGGAGATTTACTCTACCTTGCAGAAAACAGATGCAGATTATTATTATTATTATTATTATTATTATTATTATTATTTATTTGTTTGTTTGTTTTTGAGACAGAGTCTCGCTCTGTCGCCCAGGCTGGAGTGCAGTGGCATGATCTTGGCTCACCGCAAGCTCTGCCTCCCGGGTTCATGCCATTCTCCTGCCTCAGCCTCCCGAGTAGCTGGGACTACAAGTGCCCACCACCACGCCCAGCTAATTTTTTGTATTTTTAGTAGAGACAGGGTTTCACCGTGTTAGCCAGGACGGTCTCAATCTCCTGGCCTCGTGATCCACCCACCTTGGCCTCCCAAAGTGCTGGTATTACAGGCATGAGCCACTGTGCCCGGATGCAGATTATTTTTAAAGTACTTTTACAACTTACATGTCCTTCCCTCCCTACCCTGGCCATCTCTGCCTTTTCACTAGAGCTTCTGTTGCAGGGTTACTGAGTCTGAGCCTGCTTATTAACATCTACTGTTGCATATCCCCTGACTATTCTTTACTGAAAACAGATAAGATATATAATCATGCTTTTCAGAAAACAAAATCAGAACAACTCTAGCCACTTCTAGTTTTATTCTTGATTCTTTTAGGGTTAAGTAAGCTCACTCAGATTCCTCACTTAATTTCAACTGCCTGGCACCTCTAAATGACACCCTAGTTACTTATTTCTTACCGTGAGATTTTTTTCCTGATTGTTTTGTATACATGGGATTTTTCTATTACTAGATTGCGAGAAGGTTGCTCTTCACCTCCTTTCTATTTCTTGGGTCTCCATTTTGGTGTCATAACTAGATTGGCCCACTGATCAATGCTGGTGGAATTGATGAGCATATGAATAATAATTAATAATCATTTTGACTCACCCAAGTGTTCATGTGCTCAGCTGCATCATTGAGATGGCAAGTGTGTCTATGTTTTATAAAAATATTTGCCAACTGAGGAACTTATTGATAGACGTGAGTGATGTGGCTGCTTTATTTTCAAGGTTCTCCCAAAGTGTCAGTGTAGCTCAGGGCTTTGTGTGGGTTTCCATCGCAAGTGATTACGGAAGTGGCATGTGGAGAGTGGACTGGGGGGCAAAATATATGCAGGAAAAGTGGAAATCACCAAGGAAAACGACTGAAGGGGAAATCAATACGAGGTGAAAGGTCAACAAGCCTCCTGCTGTTACTCTGTCAAAATGTATTTAATGGGTTCATTGGATATTTTTCACATTTAAGAAATTGACATGAGAAAGGGTAAGCCTATAATAACTTTTTATCTCTCACTTACAAAATAGCCTTTTTTTTTCTTTTGAGAATTTTACCTCTGATCTCAGTATTGCATTTATGTCCAGGGGTTTGAGGCTTCAAGAGAACTATAATGACAAGCTTTCAAAATAGATAAGATAGTTATTTCCTAAGTAGTTAATTCTATAATCATAGCCACATCAATGTATCAAAGTGTAATTTCAAGTATATTTATTAAAATTAAAGAAAGAGCAGATATGGAATTTGCTGTATCCAAGGGTATAGTTTCTGAGTCTGAAAGTCTGAACTCACCATATTTATTTAAAAGATGGTTTATTTATTCTCTTTTCTATCATCTGTACAGCTAGATTGATCTTCAGTTATCTCCTCTTCAAGAAAGAGCAAGAATAACAGATACAAGAAAGAATTCCAGTAATTAATTTTGGTTTGGGGACTTTAAAAATAAAGCCTCTCCACATAAAATCGTATTTGTACTATCTTTTTAAAATTTCTATACTCTCAATTGATGAATGCTTTTCATATTTTAGACAATTCTATCATCTTATTAGAAGTTCAGATTTTTGTATTTCTCTAATATCTTTAATCAAAGTACTTTTAGGTGCATTAGAAATATTAATTCATTCAATAGTTCCTGAGCTATGCAGAGAGATTAAGCATTAAACATTAATATCTGGAAAATTCAGTATGGTAGACTTATGTATGCTGTTTTATCCCTTTTTAAGACTAAGAAATTTATGTTCAAGATTTAAATTTCCTTCAGTTTTCCATCTTGAGCACCTGACACCAATTTGGCAAGGTCACACCACAGTCTTAGATTTCTGTAAAGATCTGCTCCATTAATTTTGGTGAGCAATCCTATAGAACTAAAGTATGGCCTGGGGATGTTTCTTGAAATTGTCAAGGCCCCCAGGGATCTAGCACCTTCGTTTGCCATGGGTAATATTAGCGCAGCTCAAAATAATATTACATACATGAAAGAAGTTTGAAAACTGAAAGTACTTTATACAATTTTCCAAGACATGCTGAGATTTGAAATTTCAAAGAGTTAATATGAAAAGGCACTACAAAGATCTAAATGGATATTTTTGTTCTTTTCATTTCAGAATGTTAATCATCAGTCATTTATTAACTAAAGGTTTATTAAATATTTACTATACATAAGCATTTTGCTAGATATTGGTGAAACCAAGATAAAAAGAACACAGTCATGCCCTTTAGGAATGTTTTGCCTAGCAGGAAGCATTAATGTAAACAAAAATTATGTGACAAGTGCAATGTATTAGTTTTCTATTGCCATGTAGCTAGTTGCTACAAACTTAATAGCTTAAAGCAACACAGTTATTATCTCATAGTTTCTGTGGGTCAGGAGTCTGGGTAGAGCCTAGCTGGGTTCTCTCCTCAGGGTCTCACAAAGCTGCAATCAATGTTGGCCAAGGCACAGTCTCGTCTAAGCTCAGGATCCTCTTCCAAACTCACAGAGTTGTTGGCACAATTCATTTACTTGAAGCTGTAAAACTCAAACTGACTTCTTCTTCAAGAGTAGTAGGAGAGAGTCTCTCAGCTCAGGAAAGCCCTACATCCTATTTTAAGGGCTCACCTGATAAATCAGACCCACCCAGGATAATCTCCCTGTGACCAACTCAAGGTCTATTGATGGGGGCCTTTGGTAACATCTGCAAAACCCTTGTATCTTCACCATAAGCATAATCAGGGAGTGATGTTCCATCATATCCACAGATCCTGCCTACACTGAAGGGGAGAGAGTTATATAAGAGTATGGGGTCGCTGGGCATCATCTCATAATTTTGTTTACCACATTCCTAAAGAGACATATTTAAATAAAGCAGTAGTGAATGAATATAGTCTGGTTATGGAGAAATAAGGCAAAAGCCATGGGCAATGGTGAACTGTAGACAAACTAGGTTCCTCAATGTCATGATAATTAGAGTATTTCTGTGTCACTCAGAGAGAAATTTTCTTTTTTCTTTTTCTTTTTTTTTTTTTTTTGACACGGAGTCTCACTCTGTCACCCAGGCTAGAGTGCAGTGGCACAATCTCAGCTCACTGAAACCTCTGCCTCCAGGGTTCAAATGATTCTTCTGCCTCAGCCTCCCAAGTAGCTGGGACTACAGGCGCCCACCACCACGCCCAGCTAATGTTTGTATTTTTAGTAGAGATGGGGCTTCACCATGTTGCCCAGGCTTGTCTCAAACTCCTGAACTCAAGTGATCCACCTGCCTTGGCTTGCCAAAGTGTTGGGATTACAGGCGTGAGCCACTGCGCCCAGCCCAGAGAGAAAATTTACTTCAGACTTTTTATAAACAAACAGCCTCAAAGTTAAATTAGAGAGGAGATTTTACTAGGTCACACTAAGGATACATTATAGGTAAATTCAGATGCCACAGTTATTGGGTCCTGTTAAACAAAACATTTGGACTATATGGTACCCAAGTGGGAAATTGTGTAGGTCCTTGGATAGTGGACCTTAGGACTTTCCAAGACATTAGGTGTCTTAGCTTGTGACAGAGGCTTGTGTGGCAATCACTTATTTGAGAATGTGTTTGCTGGAAGCAAGAGTGGGATGAGAGCGTGAAGCAGGGAAAAAGAGAAGCCTGACACAAAAATGTATTTTGAGTTGGTCATGCATGAAGCCTAAAAAGGTCTTCTTAGAAATGTCAGGACATGGAAATCAGAACTTTTCCTTTGGAGATAAAACAGGGAATCATTGTTCTGTTCGCTCCTGATACCTATTGGTCAGCAGTGGCCCATGGATCTGAATGCCAGAGGGGTACTGATGGTGGCAGGGAAAAATGAAAGACATAGAGGTGTGACCTAAGATGAAATGTTTTTAGGTTGCACAAGCAAAAAGCTGGTGAAAACCAGTGCAGAGCAGTGACAAGGTACAAGGTGGGGCTCAGGGGGTTTGGAAGAGCACACGAGGGGCATTTGCTATGTTGATGTTTGAAAAATATGATGGGAACTATAGAGCCATTCTCCAGAATAATGAAAACATGCACACTTATACACACACGAACAGACACATACACTCACACACAAACTGTACATAGCTCAGGTACTTTTACCCTTGAAGCCCATCCATGTACCCAAGAAGGGGGACCTCTGTTTCAGGGGCTAATTATAAAGAAAAGATTTTGACAATATGGCATTCATGTAAGAAACTATGTAGGTTTCTGCAAGACAAGTATATACTTTTAAAAAATATTTGCCCATTTTTTTCTCCATGAAGAATCATTTTCAAAATACTTTGATTAGAAAGCAATTGTCAATTAGATGGCTGTCTGTTTTAACATCTGTTAGTCTCCTCCTTAACAGTAACTGTAGGTATATTTTGAGTTTGTTTGAAATTACCAGTTATAACAGTGATTAGACAGGTGTGAAGAAAACGTTTGGAATATGGTAAGAAAGCAGAGACCACGTTAAGGCAAACACTAAGATCTGAGCCTGCAAATTCTGGTTTGAAGCTTTCTATACTATGAACCTTTCACCTCTTCATGCCTAAGCAACAGTAATAACAATGACAACTCAATGTCTAACTCTAAATTTGATGACAGTAATTACTGTAGACACAGGGATCAGTAATATGAAGGTTACATGTGTAATCATCATAAACAGCTTGTTCTATACAACAGTCATCATCTGAGCTCTTAGTTCATTCAACCACCCCAGTCAGGCCTAGGAAAGAAAATGAGTAAATGAATCAGTGTAGTCTGAATGATTAAAAGAGCAAACTAAAAGCATTTTCCTTTTTGAGAAATACATACAAAGGATTGCACACTACTTGTATCTTGGTTTAATAACATATCTGTTTACAAGATAAAAAGAAATCCCACCAAAATCTGAGAAAAAACAAAGGGAGACTCACATAAGAGGGAAGCTAGAATAAAATAAAGTGTGATGATACATTAGTCAATAAGCATACATAGAGAGAGACACAGAAAATAAACTACAAAGAAACAATTGGACTTTCTCTCAAGACCCCTCTCAGATGTCCAATAAAATACAGCAAAGAGAGAGCTCGCTGACATTAAATATAGATTTGAGCATAGATTTGTTGTGGTTATTTTCTCTTTTGCATCTTTTGTGATAGATGGAAATATTGAAAACTTGGAAATGCAAAAGCAGCTCACCATTAAATGTATACCAATTCTAGAGTCTACGAGAGAAAATATAAGAATTACTATCTAAAATCCTGTATTAATTTCTAGACACATATTGGAAATGTCAAAATTTTTAGAGTTCATAATATTGTTCAAGTCTCTTTGAAAACTCACTCACCATTCATTACTTTATAATCACTTTTTAAAAGCCAAATATCTCAGTATGACCCTGAGAATACATTTTGAATCTTCTTCTTCCGACATTTTTCCTACTCCTGTGAGAACTGAGGCTGATGGGATTGCAGAGTTTTAATAGGGTTGAGGGAGTGTCTAAGAAATTCCTGACTGATAAATGCTGAAGAATCATCCTAAACATTCTGGGCTAATACATCAGCTTTTACTTTGCTTTTTATTCTTATTTTTGGTTCAGAGATACACGTGCAGGTTTGCTATGTAGGTACATTGTGTGTCAAGGGGATTTGGTATACAGATTATTTCATCATCCAGGTAGTAAGCATAGTACTTTACAGGTAGTCTTTCGATCTTCACCCTCCTCCCACCCTCAACCCTCAGGTAGGCTCTGGTGTATGTTATTCCCTTCTTTGTGTCCATATGTACTCAATATTTAGCTCCCATTTATAAGTGAGAACATGCGTTATTTGGTTTTCTGTTTCCACATTAGTTTGCTAAAGATAATGTCCTCCAGCTCCATTCATGTTGCTATGAAGGACATAATCCCATTCACTTTTATGGCTGTGTAGTACTCCATGGTATATATGTACCATATTTTTTTTATCCAGTCTATCACTGATGAGCATTTAGATTGATTCCATGTCTTTGCTATTGTGAATACTGCTGCAATGAACATACATGTACATGTGTCTTTGTAGGAGAATAACTTATATTCCTTTGGGTATATACCCAATAATGGCGTGGCTGGGTTGAATGGTAATTCTGTTTTAAGTTCTTTGAGAAATTGCCAAACTGCTTAACATGATGGCTGAACTAATTTACATTCCCATCAGCAGTATATAAGCATTCTCTTTTCTCTGCAACCTCACCAGCATCTGTTATTTTTTGTCTTTTTAATAAGACAAAATGGACTGTTGTGAGATGGTATCTCATTGTGGTTTTGATTTGCATTTCTCTAATGATTAGTGATATTGCATTTTTTCATATGCTTGTTGGTCTGGTGTATGTCTTCGTCTGTTTATGTCTCTTTGCTGACTTTTTTTCTGGGGTTTGTGTTTTTTGCTTGTTAATTTAAGTTTCTTATAGATTCTGGATATTAGACTTTTGTCAGATGCATGGTTTGCACAAATTTTCTCTCATTCTTTAGGTTGTTTACACTGTTGATAGTTTCTTTTGCTGTGCAGAAGCTCTTTAGTTTAGTTAGATCCCATTTGTTAATTTTTGTTTTTGTTGCGATTGCTTTTGACGTATTCATCATGAAATCTTTGACAGAGACTATGTCCATAATGGCATTTCCTGTGTTACTTTCCAGGGTTTTATAGTTTTAGGTTCTTATAGTTAAGTCTTTGATCTATCTTGAGTTGATTTTTTGTGTATGTGTAAGGAAGGGGGTCCAGTTTGGATCTTCTGCATATGGCTAACCATTTATTGAACAGGGAATTTTTTCCCTATTGCTTGTTTTTGTCAACTTTGTCAAAAATCAGATGGTTGTAGGTGTGCAGTATTATTTTGGGCTCTCTCTTCTGTCCCCTTGGTCTATATGTCTGTTGTTGTACCAGTACCATGCTGCTTTGGTTACTATAGCCTTGTAGAATAGTTTGAAGCTGGGTAATGAGATGCCTCCAGCTTTCTTCTTTTTGCTTATAATTGCCTTGGCTATTTGGGCTTTTTAGTTTTCCATATGAATTTTAAGTTTTTTTCCCTAATTCTATGAAGAATGCCATTGGTAGTTTGATAAGAATGGCATTTAATGTATAAATTGCTTTGAGCATTATGGCCGTTTTAACAATATACACATCAGCTTTTAAACCAAATTGCAGTCAGCTGTTCTGCTTACCTTCTCACCTCCTTAAGATCAATCTTCACATAGACCTGTTAGTATGTTAGAGAAAAGTATTCCCATCAACACCTTTAAGCTACCTGTAGTGTTGCATGAGCTCATATCCAAATAACCCACCTTGTAGGGGATAAACCAAAACTCTCTAATCATTACAAAAAAAGAACTGATGCCCTTAAGTAAGCCAAACATAGTGAAGATGTTGAAATCATAAGAAAAAGACACTCAACTATTTTATAAACCATATGAAGCTTGCCTAACTAAACAGCAGAAAACCTATTAAGAACTATTTCTTAGAAGAATCCACTGGATATTGAACACACTATTAAGTGCTAATTTTAATTGATTAATTCTAAACCTCTCTAGAACCATTAATACATTCCTTTTTACCTACTTGTGTCTATTTTAAAAACATATTCCTGGTAGACAGCATATATTTGTTTCTGATTTTTTATTCAATCTGACAGTTGGCTTAATTATTTAAACTTTTAATATTTAATGTAATTATCACTATGGTTATGTTTAAAATGATCATCTTGCTATTGTTTTCTATTTATCTCACCTGTTGTTTTCTCTTTTTCAGTCCCTTTTGAATGAAATGAGTTAGCTTTTATGATTCAGTTTTATCTACTTTGTTGGCTTACTAGCTATGATGATTTTATAATTTTAGTGGTTACATTATGGTTTAAAGTTTACGTCTGTAGTTTATCACAGTCTACCTTCAGATGGTATTATAACACTTTACTTTATGCTACAAGTACTTTAGGATAGTGTACTTCCATTTCTCCTCTCCCAATCTTAGTATTATTGTCATACATTTTACCTCTACGTATGTTATAAACTCCATACTATGTTGTTATTATTTGTATTTAAATAGTCAATTACCTTTTAAATTGATTTAAATAACAGGAAAAACTGGTACTATTTATTCCTGTAGTTATCATTTTCAGTGTTCATCATGCATTGTATAGATTCCTATTTCCACCTGGTATCATTTTTCTTCTACCTGAAGAAATTAATACTTTTTACAGTGAGGGTTTTTGGCAATTAAGTCTGTCAACATTTTTATGACAATCAAATCTCTATTTCATCTTTGTTTTTGAAGGATATTTTTGCTAGGCATAGAATTCTAGGCTGACGATTCTATTGGTACATTTAAGATGTTGCTTCAATGTCTTTTCACTTATCTTGTTTCCAATAAGAAATATACAATTATCTTAATATTTTTTACTGTTTTTAATGTTTATATTTACACTAGCTGTTTAAAATATCTTCTCTTTATCACCTATGGTGAACAATTTAATTCTTTGCTGCAATGTTATTTTATGTTTTTAATGATTCAGGTTTATTGAGCTTCTTGGATATGTAAGTTTATGGTTTTCTTCAAATTTGAATATTTTTGGTCATTATTTTATCAGTTTTTTTTCTGTCTACTGCTTCAGAAATTCCAATTGTGTATATAATAAACTGCTTTAAAATTGTCCCACAGCCCACTATTTCGTTTTTGTTGTTGAATTGTTCAGGATTTTTGCATCTCTGTTCATAAGAGATAATGGTCTGAAATTTTCTTTCTTGTAATGTTTTCTGTTTGGTTTTGGTATTAAAGTTTGGGCTTATAGAATGAATTAGGAAGTGCTCACTCTACCTGTTTTCTGGACAAAATTGTAGAGAACTGATATCATTTGTTCCTTAAGTGCCTGGTGGAATTCCCTAGGGAAACCATCTAATCTTGGTGCTTTTTGTTCTAGAAGGTTATTATTATTAGTTCAATTTCTTTAATAGATATAGGTCTATTTAGATTATCTATTTATCCTTGTGTGAGTTTTGGTCAATTGTATTTTTAGAGGAATTGGTCCATTTTATCTAAATTATCAAATTTATGGGTATAGAATTGTTCACAATATTCATTGTTTATGTCCATGGGATCAGTAGTAATGGTTTGTCTTCTCTGATATTAGTAATTTGTGTCTTTCTCTTTTCTTGGTTAGTCTGATTAGAGGATTACGTGTTTTGTTCATCTTTTTAAAGAATGAACTTTTGGTTTCACTGGATTTCTCTATAGTTTTCCCGTTTAAAACTTTATTGATTTCTGCTCTGATTTTATCATTTCTTTACTTTTGCTTAATTTGGATTTAATTCTCTCTTATTTTTCTAGTTTCCTAAGGTAGAAGCTCAGGTAATTAATTTTAGATCTGTATTATTTCTAATATATGCATTCTATACTATCAATT
The DNA here is from genome assembly GCF_000001405.40 of Homo sapiens. Taxonomy (NCBI): domain Eukaryota; kingdom Metazoa; phylum Chordata; class Mammalia; order Primates; family Hominidae; genus Homo; species Homo sapiens. Next base: position 78,898,704 of record NC_000013.11, on the reverse strand, counting down.
TCCCTGTAAGCTCTGCTTTTGCTGCATCCTACAAATTCTAATAAGTTGTATTTTTTAATTTTCATGTAGTTTGAATTTTTTTTAATTTTTTGAGATTTATTCTTTGACTCATGTTTTATTTAGAAGCATGTTGTTTAATCACTAAATAATTTAGAATTATTCAGATACCTTTCTGTTATTGATTTATAGTATCATTTTATTGTGGTAAGAAATAATACTTTGTATGACATTTATTCTTTTAAATTTATTAAAGCACTTTTATAGCCCCAAGTGTGGCCTATCTTGCTGAATGTTTTATGTGTGTTTGAAAAGAATGTGTATTATGATGTTGTTGGATGAATTTTTCTATAAATATCAATTAGATACAGTTGATTGATGGTGCTTTTCAGTTCAACTATATTATTACTGATTTTCTGCCCCAGACTTTGCAATGATACAAAATCTAAACCTGTTATTCATCATAAATCCACAGCATAATCCTGTTACAGGACTTTAAGACTTTCGGTACACAAAGATCATTTTGTTTACTGAAGCAGAGATGCTCCTGATACATTACAAAAGTCTTTCTCCAATATTAGTGCCTCTGAAACATCTGAAAGGCTTGTAAAGATGCAAAATGCAGCATAGTCACTCTCAAAGCTCCAGATTTATTACATCTTGGGTAGATTCTGAGACTCCGCATTTCTGTAAATTTTCATAGGCAAAGTTGATGTTGCTTGTCCAGAGACAACACTTTGATAACCACTGCCTTACACCATCCAGGGGGACATTTAAAAATGTGTAACCTCCAACACATAGAAGCCAAGGATATGGGGAAATTGTGCACACCGTGTCAGAATGGAATAGCAAAGAAAAGATGACTCTTGATGAAGGTTTTCTATGCCTTGGACTATTCTTAGTGAAGAAATGGGTGATTGTGAAGCTGCTGATAGCTGCTCATTAGAGGAGACACAGTTGGGAGTCATGCTTTTGTGATGTTGGCCATCAGCCTACATCAACTGTAGATTGTTCCTTCTCATTGCTTCTCAGCAGAAAGTTTCTCCTATTTTGACAAAATTCAAATTAGACAACCTAATCCTGTCCAGTAGATTGGAAACAAAAGTGAAGAGGAGACACAGCAAGGTAACTTTCGGCTTAAGTGCCCCAGGACCGTTCTTAATACACTTTGAAGTGACTGAACACAGCTTCTCAAATGTTGGAAGATAATTATTTCACAAGAGTGATTTAATTAATCATCAAAGCCTAGGCCATAATTATAACTATGTTTTTGTGCACTTTTCTCAGGTTCTCTTGCATAACCTGATCAAGGTTCAGTTTTACACAACATGGGGATAGTAAGTTCTACACACATTCAAGAAAGATTGCTTTCCTAGCTTTTTCTTGACAAGTGGAGTGGCTCTTGAGCTAACCTAATCCATGGTTTGACAACACCCTCCCTAGACACAGTGCTTGATGATACTCCACATTTGCCCACTCAACAGTCAATCAAGAAAAAGTCTTCCCAATTCTAGAACTATTTTTCTCCTACTGACTTTGGTTTTCCAGACACAAAGTAAGCAGCATCAGTAGGAATAGTGACTTCATCTGCTGTTAAGCACAATAAGGTTATACCTTCTTTATACCTGGGAGATTTATACCTCTCAGCAACTAATCGTCCTCTTTGAGAATGTTGCAAAATGATGCTGTATAGTTAAGATCCCTGATATGTTTGTGTTTTCTGATAGAATTCTACTATTAGTTAACCAAAAGAGACCTAGATTTTAGGATATTTACCTAAATATTATCTCATAATCTATATCTAAACAATATGGATAAATATTAATAATAATTACCCATATTATCCCTCTTTATTTTAGGGGGAAAGAGAGCGGTATGGCTAGGTCTGCAACCTTTATATGTGCAAAGTCCAGGAAATTTATTCTTCAGGCTAATTTGGTCCTGCCTTGAAGAACAGGTTTTGTCTCACCCCATTCTGCAGGGGAAGGGATAGTTAACTATCTCAATGAGTTAAACATCCTCATAAGTTTCCCCCCTTTCATAAAAATATGTCAATCCAATTCCTTGTTCAAGTTTATTATTAAAATATGAAGGTTTGATCTTAAGGTACAACACACTGTCACTGCATTTTCAATTCTTCCCAGAAGTAAATACCTGAATTCTTTGCTACCTTATACATCAAAAGGTTTGGTTGAAAAAAACAATATTTGTGGAGGAATAATTTAAATAATAAAATATCTGTCCCAGGATTAACCAAATCAGGAGCAAATCCTTTTGACCTCTACAAAGACCTGAATTTACTAATTGCAGTTGATTTACTTTGCACAACACGGTAAGAAAAAATCAGAAATGTCTGGTTTTACTCAAAGCAAGGATTCTGGTGAGGATGCTGTTTATTACATTATACAATTTCCTTTTTATGAACACACAAAGGGTAAAATCCCCTCTAGTCCAAAAACCAAGAATAATTATGCTTTTACTAAAAAGTTGAATTGTATAATTTTACTAAACATTTTTATGCATTTGTTCTCATTTCCTTCCTGATTGTTGGCAAGCTTAGAGTCACAATAGTAATCACAACTAGCAATGTTGAAGACATGTGATATAGATTTTGTGTAACAATCTGATGTATTAGTCCATTTTCACACTCCTATAAAGAAATATCTGAGACTAGGTAATTTATAAAGGATAGGGGTTGATAGGGTTTGACTGTGTCCCCACCCAAATCTCATCTTGATTTGTAGCTCCCAGAATTCCCACGTGTCATGGGAGGGACCTGTTGGGAGGTAACTGAATCATGGGGATGGGTCTTTCCCATGCTGTTCTTGTGATAGTGTATAAGTTTCATGAGATCTGATGGTTTTATAAAGGGGACTTCCCCTGCACACACTCTCTTGCCTGCCTCTATGTAAGGCATGCTGTTGCTCTTCCTTCACCTTTCACCATGATTGTGAGCCCTCCCCAGCCATGTGGAACTGTGAGGCCATTAAGCCTCTTTCCATTATAAATTACCCAGCCTTGAGTATGTTCTTATTAGCAGCATGAGAACAGACCAATACAGAGGTTTAATTGACTCACAGTTCCAAATGGCCAGGGAGGCCTCAGGAAACTTACAGTCATAGTAGAAGGGCACCTTCTTTACAAGGCAGCAGGAGAGAGACAGATGAACGGAGGAGGAAGAACCCTTATAAAAACAACAGATTGCATAAGAACTCTCTTGCTATCATGAAAACAGCATGGAGAAAACCACTCCCTGCACCCAATCATCTCCCTCCCTCAACACATAGAGATTACAATTTGAGATGAGATTTGGGTGGGGACACAGAGCCAAACCATATCATCTGGCTTGCTTTATTTTTTCTACTTTCATTTTTCTTATATTTTTATCATCCACTTATATTGTACTTTGCAATAGATATTGATGGGATGACTTTTTAAAATGTGGGGTAGATTCTGTCATTCCCAAGCAATCTCTTAGTTTAACAGTTTCCATCACCTTTCAAAACTTATGTATTAAAGCAGCGTATTACTGGCATAAAGATAGACGTACAAATCAATGGAACAGAATTGAGAGTCCAAAAATAAACTCTTATTTATAGTCAATTGATATTGACGGAGGTGCCAAGGCAATTCAATGGGGGAAATGATAATCTTTGCAACAAATGGCATTGAGATAATTGAATATCCAAAGTAAAAAGATGAACTTACACCCATCCCACACCATATGGAAAAATTAACTCAAAGTGGATGACAGACATAAATGTAAGAGTTAAAATTATACAGATTTTAGAATAAAACATATAAAAAATTTGAGACCTTGGATCAGGCAAAGATTTCTTGGATATGATACCAAAAGCATGATATAATACCATAATAGAAAAATTAGACTTCATAAAACTTAAAAACGTACACACTTCAAAAGACACTATTTGAAAAGCTAAAAAGAATGGGATAAAATAATTGCAAGTCATTTATATGATAAGGGACTTGTAAAAAGACCATAGAAAGAACTTTACAATCCAATAATAAGAAAACAACCCCATTTTAAAATGAACAAATGATTTGAGTAGACAGCTCACCAAAGAAGATACACAAATGGCTAACGAGTACATAAAAAGATGCTCAACATCAGCTGGGCACAGTGGCTCACGCCCGTAATCCCAGCACTTTAGGAGGCCAAGGCAGGCAGATAACAAGGTCAAGAGGTTGAGACCATCCTGGCCAACATGGTGAAACCCCATCTCTACTAAAAATACAAAAATTAGCTGGGCATGGTGGCACGTGCCTATAGTCTCAGCTACCTGGGAGGCTGAGGCAGAAGAATTGCTGGAACCCAGGAGGCGGAGGATGCAATGAGCCAAGATCGTGTCACTGCACTCCAGCCTGGCAACAGAGCGAGACTCTGCCAAAAAAAAAAAAAAAAAAAAAAAGGATGCTCAACATCATTAGGGAAATGCAAACCATAACCACAATGATATATCATCTTACATGCATTAGAAAGGCTATAATAAAAAAGAAAGACAATAGTAAATGTTGATAAGGATGTAAAAAAAGAGACACTCATACTTTACTGATGTGAATATAAAATAGTATAGCCACTTTGAAAACATTTGGCATTTCTTAAAATGTTAAACCTAGTGTTATCATATGACCAAGCAATTTCATTCCTAGGTATCCACCCAGAAGTAAAAATATGTGTCCACAAAAAAAACCTTGTACACAATGTTCATAACAGCATTATTAATAATAGCCAAAAGGTGCAAACAACCAGAATGTCTATGAAATGGTGAATAGAGAAACAAAATATGGTACATTCATACAATGAAGATTATTCAACAATAAAATGGAGTGGACTTCTGATATGTGAATAACATGGATAAGATGCAAAATCATTGTGTTCATTGAAAGAAGTCAGACACAAAAACCCATTGTATGTTTCCACTTATATAAAATATCCACAAAAATCAAATCTCTAGAGACAGGAAGTAGATTAGTGGTGGCCCAGGGCTTGGGACGGAAATGGGGATTAACCATAAATGAGAATGAGGATCCTACTGGGGGGATAAAAAGTTCCCAAACTGGATTATGGTGATGGTTACATAACTCAGTAAATTTATTAAAAATCATTAGATTGTAAACTTAAAACAAGGGAATTTCAGAATATGTAATTATACAATTCCATAAAGTTAAATATTTCAACAAGTATTGCTGAGGAGACCTACTTCGACCAGAGGTACGTGGTAGTTGCTGTCAACTTCTTAATGTCCACAGCAGACAGATCAGGAGGGTGGTACCCTTCCAGGATAAAGTCTGAGGACCAGGCCTATTCCCAGTGAATATGCAGCTGTCACAGTACAGTAGCGCTTAGTTTAATGGCATCATGTGTCTTTTTGAAGTACAATATTTCTGAAGCCTCATATGACATCTGTGTAAACAAACTCCCCTAAACTAAACAGTTAGATCAATATGTGAGTAAAAGTCCCCCCATGGTCAAGAATGGATAATCAATATGTCAGATCACATTTATCTCAAGCTAGGAAAATTAGAGTGACATGAAAGAAATGAAGATTATATTTGAGTGTTAAAGCTTGTCTGCCTCAGGTTATTTCGATGATACTTCAAATATTTATAGAGACAAGGAAATATTTTTCTTCAAATAGATTAAATTTGAGTAGAGATGTTTCTGGTAGCACCCTTAGCAACAATGGTGCCATAAGGAAGCCCTTGATTCTTTGTAAGAACCCCAAGCATATAAAAACTTTTGATAAGGTCCAAAATAAAACATGTGAAACAGTCCAGGAACATATCAAAATTAAATATTCCATGAATTTTCTTCATAAAAATAAAAATTTTATATATTTATACAAATATAAATATATACAAATAATTATTCATTATCTTCACTGCAGCCACTCAGAACCTAGTTGTTATTGCTAATGTGAATAACATGGAACTTAAAATACTGTTTTATGTTACTCAAATGTAGGCCTGTCTTAGAAGACTATATTATGAGTTTCAAGAAAAGAAACTAGGTCACATTCATCTTTGTAGCCCTAGCATGTGGCTAAAGATTCGGACATAATAAATAACATATATTTGGTAGATTATAACTAGAGTGACTTATACAGTCACTGATCACCTCTATTCCCTGCCATAATAAATTGATCAATACCATTTGTCTCTTCATTCATTCATTTACTAATTCATTTAACAAAAATTTGCCAAGTACCTACTATGCACTGAACACAGTGTTAGGTGCTTAAGTTCCAGTGGCAAAAAGGCTGACCTTTGAGCTCTGGAGGACAAAGGCAAATAAGCACAGAAATAAAATACTCTGTGATAAGCAGAGAAATAGTAAGGAGCCTAAGGGACCAGCTTCTAATCCAATTTACAATGTGTCTGGGGCGGGATCCAAGCTGAGGCCTGGTAATGAGTTAGGCAAACTGAGGAGGCAGGAGGAGACAGAGAGGAAATGAGGTAACACTGCAAGGTGGCTTATAGGATTGGAAAGAATGTGAGTTTTAAAAATCAGAAAGACCAGGCTTACATACTTACTAGATCTATGACCTTGTCCAACTTATTTATTTGCTCTGTTTTTCTCACCTGCAACAGTGTGCTAATGATACCTACCTCACTGTACTGTTGGCATGTTTAGGGCTAACATAGCTGGTGCAAATTACACACAGCACACAGTAAATTACCCAAATTGTAACCATTGCTATTACACTTCAAAAATAAGTTATAGAGCTTCAAAATGATATGTGAATTTATTTAAATATAGTTTAAATGTTTTATTTGAATAATTCTTAATAACTAATGGCAAACTGTTTTCAACAGTTTTTCTCATTTACAAATTTAAGTGGTTTTCCATTGTGTATAAAAGTAATTGAAATCTTTTTTTAAAAAACAACTGTATTGAAGAATAATTTGAATATCATAAAATTCACTAATTTTAAGTATGCAATTCAGTCGTTTTTATTACAGTCGCTTTTCAAAAATTCATTCATCAATTTGACGGACATTTGGGTTGTTTCTACTTTTCGATTGTTATTCACAATCCTGATATGAACATTTGTGTACAAATCTTTATGTAGATATGTTTTCACTAGATACTTAGGAATTCTAGGTCAGATGGTAACATTTTGAGAAACTGCCAAGCTGTTTCTGAAACTGGCTGAAACATTATACATGTGCAGCCATCACCACTATTTAATGTTAAAACATTTTCAACACTGCCCCAAAAACTTTGTGCCCATTCGCAGCCACACTGAATTCTCCTGTCCCTCCTTCTCCCCACCCACCCCCAGCCCTAGGCAGCCCTAATCTGCTTTCTGTCTCTACAGATTTACTCATTCTAAACTTTCATATAAATGGAATCAGACACTAGATGTTCATTTGTGTCTGGCTCCCTTCTATTAGCATGTTTTTGTAGTTCATGTACGTTGCAGCATGCATCAACACTTTATTTTCATTGCTGAATAGTTTCATTGTATGGATACATTACGTTTGGTTTGTTTATTCACCAGTTGATGAATATTTAAATGGTTTTTTTTTTCTCAAGGTCTCGCTCTGTTGCCCAGGCTGGAGTGCAGTGGCACAGTCACAGCTCACTGCAGCCTCAACTTCTTAGGCTCAAATGATCTTCCCACTTTAGCTTCCCTAGTAGCTGGAACTGCAGGCATGCACCACAATACCTGGCTAATTTTATTTTTCTGTATTTTTGTAGAGACAGGGTTTCTCCATGCTGCCCAGACTGGTCTCAAACTCCTGGGCTCAAGCAATCTGGTTCCTGGATCTCCCAAAATGTTAGGATTACAGGGGTGAGCCACCACACTGGCCTGGGTGGTTTCGATTTTTGGCTTTACTGAATATTACTACTACAAACATTTGTATAGAATTCCTGTGTGGACATATGCTTTCACTCCCTTGAATAGATACCTAGGATTGGAATTGAGAGATCATATGGTAATTCTCTAAGTTTACCATTTTGAGAAATGCCAAACTGTTTTCCAAGTGGCTGCACTATTTTACATCACCACCAGCAATGTGTGAGGCCTCTAATTTCTCCACATTCATGCCAACACATTATTTTCTGTCATTTTAATTTAAACATATTTCCAAGAAAAATTGTTACAATGATTAAAACAAAGCATCTCAATTGCATAAATTTTGAAAGTAGGTAGAAATAGATAAAAAGCAAAGTTATTAACAACTTCACCAAAAGTACACCAGCTGTTAATATTTTAGGGCATACTTTGGTAATTTTTTCCTAAATAGCATGTTTTTAATCTAGTGTTGGTAATACTGGATAGCTAACTTTTATTAAATATAAATTTAGCAAGGGGATTGAGATAATCAAGGAAAAAATATACAATGGCAAATTTTACTTACCATTTTATGCCAGGAATTGGTATAGTTACATTATTTTGTTTAACCCTCAAAGCAGTGCTATGAAAAAGGTAATATTATTATTCTAGTCATCTTGTAGCATGGAGAACTGAGGTTTTGATAAGTTAAGTAATTCTTTCAGGTTAATATAGAAGCATATAATGGGGTCAGATCTAAAACTCAAGTCTGGTGAACTCTAGGGTCTCTGCTATGAGCCACTAAACTCTTGTTGTTTTTTGGATATAACTGGCCTAAAGGTTAGGTGGGATTTAGTTGACAGTGGAGAACTTATTGGTTGGGAAGAAAATTATGGTAAAAACGAGACTTGGACTAGAGACATGGAATCTTTGTTGGTCAATAAAGAGACCACCCTGATTGGAGTTGAGGGAGGGCAATAAAGTTGGGTAGGTTGGATTATATGTGGTCTTGAATGTAGGATGAGGAGGTCAACTGTTTCCTAAAGGCAATGGGAATTCAACAGATATCTTTGAGATGAAGAGGTGGCATGGGCTTTACCCCACAGGGATGTCACAAGATGGATCAAGGGAAAGAGGGATGAGATAAGGTGGGAGTGTTAGGATGCTTTTGAATAGCTCAGGTGTGCAGTGATGAGGCGTGAGACCATGGGGGTGGCAGAGGATAGGTACTTTTTTAATGTATCTTAGCATCTAATTCAATGGTGTTTGCACCAACATGGTCAATGAATGTCAATTATTAACTGTTTCCTTTATAAAGGGACAGAACCCTAGCATTTGGAAGATGAAACTAATTCGCAATAATCTATATGATGTTAAACTCATGATATAACATGTGTATTCTTCCTAGAGTCTAAGTCATCTGCTGGCCTTAAGTATAAACAAAGTGGATGAGATAAATGTTGCCAGATTTCCCAGGGGCTGGTGGAATTATGTTTCTGAAGTTATTGCAGTCATAATAGCTTTTTTCTTAGGGTTTTGACTTAGGACAAGGGAGTAAATTAAAAAGAATAAGGAAATTCATACTTTAGTGTAAAGATTTTTAACTTTTCGTAGCAAACACTTATTAAGCCCCACTATAATGTAGTTAGAAAATTGTGGTGATAATAATAAGGCCATGGTTGCTATTGAATAAGCACTTGGTTTGTTAGTAGCAAACATTATTTTACTCACAAATATTATTTTATTGAAACATAGCTTCAACAGAACCTAAGAAGTAGAATTTATTTTCTCTATTTTTATAGAAAACAAATCTTAAGCTCAACAAGTCTAATTATTAACTTCCCCATGGTCAGTAGGTAGAAAGGTTCACAGCCAGGATTTGCCCACATCTTACCCCAAGTATGTGCCCCTTCTCTACTGAGTCTATGGTGCCTTTATGTTAAGATGCTTCATCAACTGCTGTCGCCTGAGTTATACAACTTTAAAGTATAGAATTTACTATTACTATTATTCCTACCTAACTGATCATTCTAAACATATTCATCTCCAAGTTAAAATCACTTTTTTTGTCCATGAGAATGGTGATGTCCTTGTTGAAAGAAATGTTCAGATCTTTCTCATGAGAACACATTCTTTCTGCCATCTTTCCTCAGACAGGATGTCTTTCTACTGACATCCTCTTCTTTTGGTCTGGCTGGCCCTCCGCCTTTCCTTCATCCTACACCCTTTGTATGTCCTGCCCTCCACCCTTCACCCATTCTGTTTCCTTAGTCTGCCTATGGCTCTCTTACCTACCTTTCCAAATCCTCTTTATCTGTCAATGTCCTATTCAAATGCCTCTGTCTGTTGCTTTTCTTGGTATTTCCCTAAAATTATTGAATACCTTCCTACTCTGCACCTCCAAAGAATGTTAACTGTCCCCCAACACACACTTGTATTGGTTTGTGTAAATACCTATTTTACTCACTAAATTATGATCTCCGTGTGGGCAAGAAGTAACTTACTTACTTACTCTGCCTTCACTATTATTGATCTTTATAACTGCAATGCCTATCACAATACCTTAAACTGAATTGATAAATTTTAAAAGGTCAACTTATTTATTAATATTAGCAATCATATTTTTTGTTTTTTATTTATCCACTTTGTTCCTTAAAGGATCTATTGTGTAGTTTGCTTGGACACTGTCCTAATTCATTTTAATTTTTGAACAAGACCTTTATGAGGGCAACTGTCACTCTACAACAGTGAAAAAACAGTTCATACTGTTTCTGTATGACAATGAATGGCAGGGTCTGCAGCCCAGATCACACTGGCCATATTTCCAGATTCACATTGCAGAACCATATCTACTTTTTGGGCTTAATCACAATCATATGTAAATCTCTTTAAGTACTGCTCTCTTCCAAATGCTTCTTCCCAGATGTGCTGCATTATTAATGGAATGGAATTAAATATAGGGGTTTTAAAATGAACTTGTTTCAAAATATATTAGGCTTCATCTTCTCATTTTGACATTCTTTATTTCTTGATATTACTATTTTTCACCAGCACTTTTGCCCCCATTTCTTTATCTTCTGTTGTGTTCATAGTATCCATCCAATTATTATGTCTTACAATTTAATTGGTACACTGTTTATGATACTTCCAATGTCTTTAATTAAGACCCTGTCTTAGTCCATTCAGGCTGCCAATAAAGTATCATGAACTGGTGGTTTATAAATAACAGAAGTTTATTTCTCACAGTTCTGGAGGCTGGGAAGTCTAAGATCAAGGAACAAGAGGATTCAATGTCTGACGAGGGTCTGCTCTGGCCATCTTTTTGCTGTAACCTCACATGATGAAAAGAATGATGTAATTATCTGAAACCTCTTTTATAAGAGTACTATTCTTATAAGGGCACAAACTGGGACCTAATCCCCTCCCCGTGTGAAGGTTAGGATTTCAACATATGAATTTAGGGGAACACAAACATTCAGATCATAGTAGACCCTAAAAAGTGACTTAATCCTGATTTTTCTGGTGTCTCTGAATGACTCCTTCTAAATGGATAAACTGCTGTTAATCATGATCACAGATTCCTCTCTACCCTTTTTTGTTTTATCCTGAGCAGGGGTCCAATCACATTCCAAACCACTGTCATCATTCGTTTCCCAGCTATTATGAATTAATTTTCTGGCCAATACACCCTATTAAATTATTTACTATAATTAGGTGTTTTCCCTTTGCACATTGATAAAACTTAAGAGAGGAATTACTGGCAGTCCTGGAAACTGTATGTGTTTGTATGTGGAAATTGGAAGTGATGATGAGAAAGAAGAAATATGATTTAATGGTAGATTAAAAACTCAAAAACACAAACTTGTAAGGGCTTACTTACTCTTTAACTGAAATGATTTGTCCTGGTAACAGTCTTTTTTTTTTCTTTTTCTGTTTTTTCTTTTTTGAGATGGAGTCTTGCTCTTGTCACCCAAGCTGGAGTGCAGTGGTGCGATCTGGGCTCACTGCAACCTCCGCCTCCTAGGTTCAAGTGATTCTCCTGCCTCAGCTTCCCGAGTAGCTGGGATTACAGGCACCTGCCACCACTCCTGGCTAATTTTTGTATTTTTAGTAGAGATGAGGTTTCACCATGTTGGCCAGACTGGTCTCGAACTCCTGACCTCAAGTGATCTGCCCACCTCGGCCTCCCAAAGTAGTGGGATTACAGGCCTGAACCACCGCGCCAGGCCTGTCCTGGTAACTATCTTAACAAGCTGGTTCAACAAAAGTTTCTGTAATGAATTTTAAAGAAAACAAAATATTCTTCATTATCATCAAGAACTAATGCAAAGCAGAGGCAGAATTCCATACAGATGCTTATCTTTGTTCTTTAGAATTTATAATCTAGGATGGATACTCTATAAATAAAGAATCCTTTGGAACAACCATCGTTCTCTTTCTTTCTTCAACCACACCTCTATTCCCTCTTTTTCTGTCAATCTTGAGTAAAATATTGCACACTGAAAGGGAATAAATCCTATTTATAACAACAATCTGTCATACCTGAGTCATCTTTCCTAATATATCTTCTTTTAGGTTAAAAATATTGATCAGAATACTTACATAATTCCATACAATTCATTTCTATTTTAACAATATCTGAAAGGGATCTCTGACTTGGGAGGTTGAAGAAGGAAGATGTTGAGAAGTTCTGAACCCCTTCTTTGTAATGTAAATGACACAGAAACCAAACGATATATAGCTCAGATATATTCTGGACTTGCTGCATGGTAGTCAGTCTGCTAATGGATTTTGTATAACATTATTTCTCACGACAGCCCTGTGAGGTAAGTACTATTATTAGCCCCATCTAACAGATGAGAAAACTGAGCCTTTAAGAAATCAAGGAACATACCCCAGGTTGTATGGGTAGTGCTACTGGCATAGTGGGTGGAGGCCAACGATGCTGCTAAACATTCTACAGTGCATAAGGCAATCCTCACAATCAAGAATTATTTGTCCAAATTGTCAGTTGTGCCGAGGTTGAGAGATCTTGTTCTACACACCTAATTTTAGTGCCCTAGGATGGATGGAGACTTGTTACTGAAGCAGTTTCACTAGCACATTTTTAGTTACTGACTAGAAAACAGAGAATTCAAATTCAGTCAGCATGCCCTATGCTTTCTTAGGATTGCTCCAGTGTGTACTATAAAGTCTACGTTTTGCTTCTGGATGCTTAATGCTAAATCTTGGGTTTGTTCAAGCTGTTGCTCAAACTTTAAAAGATAAAACCTTTTTTATCACTGATTCCTACGACAGGCTAGGCTTTCTTCTAGTCTTTTCAGCAAAATTCTGCAGCGCTCTCTCTAACCTGAGTGTACTTGCCTGGGGTGTTTCTGATGGCTGGTTTCTACTTGCACAGTCTGTGCCATTTGGTAATATAAAGGGTCATGGGTAGCTGTAATGTCCTTTGAAGGAAATATTTTCCCCAGACTAGGGTCTGAAGATAAAATCCCTCTCACAGTTGGGCAATGCCATCCTTCTTGCTAAATAGGGTCACCAAACACCCTTCAGACAGCAACAGCCCTAAGCTATGCTACTGAATCCTGTGCCAGTTTCATGTGGGCCAGCCTTATACCCCATGGTTAGTCTGATACTTTCCCTATTACACTCCTCCTAATGGAACTATTCAAAGACAGAACGAATCGATATTGTTGCCTTGAAAACTTATTTCAGAATAGCCTAGGAAAGACATGGGATGTGATCTAAAGTCAGTCTGTACCTTTTTTATATTAGCCTCCTGGAATGGAAACTCCCTGAGAGTAGGAACTGAAGTTTTTGAAGGTCATATGCAGAGCTAAACATGATGAAGCTAGAGAGTGTTTAATATTAACAGTATTTTCATCAAAAGATTAGCATATATTCCTCTCTGATTATTTTTTATAACAAGCTGGGGCATTTAGATAAAAGAAATATAAAGACAACTTGGAGGGAGTTCAGAATAAAACCATAAAAATGAGTGGTTAGAGGAAAGAGGGAATCAGTTATGTGCTGGCTAAACAAGAATGAAAGAATGACCCATGATAAATGAAAGGTGTATGTATCAGAGCAAATTGCTTAGCTGTTGACAGGCTGTTGAGTCAGACAGCTACTATCTCTGGAGCCATATATTTTGAGATTAACTGAGCAATTTTCCCCCCTCTCTGCAGTTAAATTCCTTTGCCCCAATGCTAATTTAATTGCTCCACAAGGAGTCATCTATCACAAGGAGTTGGTAGGAGTCAAAGCATTATCCAAGACTTAGTGAGAATGTATCTTTTCTATTCTCCAAAGACTTGAGATCATTCAAAATCTGCTAAAAATAAAATATTTCTAATAATAAAAGTTCTTCCATCCGTAATAAGAATCCTATGACACCTTGAAGAAGCTGGGGACCAGGTAGTAGAAACAGGGAGAAAGTGGTAAAGAAAAGATATGATGTTGGTAAGTAACTTGAAGAACAAATAATTAAGGTCAGAGGTTTCTGGACCAGAAATCTATACAGAATTCATAAGTATATCCCAAATATACTTACTCTCAAGTATGTTGTCAAATATATTTATTTGAGATATACTTATGAATTCTGACTTGTTGGCTGGGGATCTCCATCTGTGTACTGATATGACCATATCTAAAATACTGTGGAATTTGGAACAACACATTCTAAGAAGGACATTGTCATCAGAGAAGGATAACCTGAATGAAAAGAGTTTAAAGATGTAAATGAAGGAGCTGTGGATGACTAACCAAAGATAATTTAAATGCTGAAATAATAACCATCTTTAAGTGTCTGAAGAATAGCAAAACAAAACGGAATTTAGATTCTTTCTTGTTATCATGGAGTGAAGAACAAAGACCAATTGGTGAAAATTTCACCAACACAACTTTCTAATTAACAGAAGAGAAAATGACTAATAACTTGGGCTGTACATGAACAGAAGGGCTGCCTGTAGAGAGAGGTAAGAGTCACTTGAATAAAAGAATGATCTGTTAGATTCATAGATGAGATTCATGCATAAATAGGAGAGAAGAGACTGAACTATTGCTAATGTCTATTCTGACAATATGATCCTTTAACTGTGTTGAGTACACCTATTTTCTAATGGTACTCAAATAAATGATTGAAAGATTTTCTGTTCTCGCCTAGACACATTTATCCACATTCTACTTCTACTGATATGCATTAAAACCAGTTGTATACGGAAGGGTATTAAGAGAAACATAAATAATATTAATCAACTTCCATTCTTAAATATTTGTTATATTTCAGAATTGTTCCCATACCCTCATTTGCCCCTTCTCTCTCTACTGTCGCTCTTAATTCCATCCTCATCAACTCTCCCCTAGATAATTGCAATAGTTTCTGAATTGGTTTTGTTTTCCCCACACCCTCTGCCATTCATTCCCTGTTCCTCAGTAATACCAATGTGACAGAGTTGGCCCAGTGAGCCCCCTCCCCCAGTTAAAACAGGCTGCTGGCTCCTCTCCACCCATGAATAAAGGCTAACCTTCTAATCACAGCACTGGATATCCTTGGCTCATGGACTCTGCCTCTCACACCTGCCTTATCCCCTGCTGTCCTTCCCCCGGAAATGTCCCTCCTGGAATAATGGATCTATTGTAATCTCTAAAGTGGACATGCTGTCCCACATTTTTAAGACCTCGTGCATAATGTGTCAAGTGCTTTGAATATTCTTTCCCAATACATATCCACTTTGCCCAACTTTATTTTTTAATCATCAAATACAAGGTATTTATTAATAAGATCTCAAAATAATCAATATGTTTTATCTCCCCAACAATTTATGCTCAGGTAGAACTACCTGAGAATAAAGTGGAAAAGAATTAAGAAATAAGAGTCATTACATTGAATTATGTTCTACATAACCTATTTCACAATCAGTTACCCTTGATTTTCTTGATTCTAGAATGTCAAGTCCAGTACCTCCATCACTATGTTTTAAGCATTTTATTGAAATGTAGTGTTCTCCATGGTAATTATCAGTTTTTCTCACATTTAAGAGATGTGGGGCTGGGCACCATTGCTCACGCCTGTAATCCCAGCACTTTGGGAGGCCAAGGCGAATGGATCACCTGTGGTCAGGAATTTCAGACCACCCTGGCCAACATGGTGAAACCCCATCCCTACCAAAAATACAAAAATTAGCTGGGTGTGGTGGTGTGCGCCTGTAATCCCAGCTACTCAGGAGGCTGAGGTTGGAGAATCAGTTGAACCCAGGAAGCGGAAGTTGCAATGAACCAAGATCGCGCCGCTGCACTCCAGCCTGGGAGATAGAGTGAGACTCCCTCTCAAAAAATAAAAATTAAAAAAAATTAAAGAAAAAGAAAGAAAGAAATGTGGTAATATTGTATTCCTTCTTATGAAAAACAATTACCAACTTATAAATATTAATCTTATTTTTCTCTTTTGCCATGTACTATACCTCACACAAGAGCCCTGATCAAATGCAGAATGTGCCTTCTGATGTCAGGCTAATGAAAATGCTCTGCTTCTAAAATACTAAAAACAGACCATTTTGCATTTAAAATGGGCAGCACACAATTTTATTTATGTGTCCAGTTACATAACATTCATCATCCTTAATACGTAATATGCGTAGTTCAAGTACACTTTAAATATACATCTTTTCATAAATGCATATTTAAAACCAGATTTGGCATCCTTCATGTAAGGCTACATGCAGGTGTGGTGCTTTTGGTGAACTACAATAAGAGGAATGCCATAAAGATGAATTTAGTCTGATAACAGGAACCCCCAATAGTACATCATAATAATCAAAGCTTTACATGCAATAATGTTTAGGAATTGAGCTGGCACCAGGGAGACTAAGTTCTCAAGTCAATATTTGAAAATTGGAGCTGTTGTGTGAAATGAAGTGCTAAACTGGACAGCTGCCAACAGCTGAAAGCCCACATGTAGGAGCTGTGACTGAGAAAACATAGTTTCCAAACCAAGCCAAGGAGGAGATATACAGGGAGAGTTTGTCTGATTATCATGTCTTGTATTAGCCCAGTCTCTGTACTCAGCTTTTTATTGCTCTCTTTCTCTTCCTGTCCATAGATCCTTTAACTTAGAGTTCTTGTTTCCCTAAATGAACTTGGGTATGCTTAGCTGCTCTTTGGAGCCAAGGAAGACCAGAAAGATACAATTATTTTCTGGCGGTGAAGGGGGCTTGGATTTTGTGTCAGCCCTGTTAAGATAAACATCACACACCATTGTACAAGATGCAGAAATACATTCAAAACAAATTGAGAAAACCATATTTGTTTCAGAGTTGGGAGAACCTTAGATTAACGTTGTGATTACCCCTCTAAAATAAATTCAGATGGAAATATTGAACACATTCTAAATTCAGCGCCTGGACATTCGGTAAGTATGTATAAGTTTTTTCTTCCATTCGGTACAAAAATCTTAAGCTCCTTTTCCCTCAAGTGCCTTTGTATCTCTCTCACAGGCACACCAGGGTGCTAGTGTCTGCTTGGCAAAGAAGAGATATGAGACCCTGATATTGTTTCAGTCACAGTTCAATCAGGAAAACAGACCCCGTGCTATGTAATTCAATAGAGGAAATTTGATATGTGGAATTAGATAGAGAGGTGTTGGAAGAGCTAGAAAGCCAAACAGGGGACTGGGAGGCAACCAGAGATTATCAACAGCAAAAAGCTGCCACAACTCCAAAGGCTGAAAAGATACAGGGATGAGAAATTGTGACCAGATCTCAGAGACCAGCCATTATGGTGGGAGGCTGAAATACGACGGAAGCTGCACAGCTGAAGCAGAAGCCATATAATGAAATGGTTTTTGACAGGAAATGAAGCCATGGAGGAGACACAGCATCTGTCAGAGATGCTACTCAAACAGGAGTTGGACAGGATCAGGGAGGCATTTTTTCTTTTTCCCACCCTCCAATCTCCTATCAATGTCTCCCACTGGCCAAACCTGGCAGGAATGCAGGAAAGTGTAGTTTTGGGGAACAGTCTTGTAAAGTGCAGAACAAAACAGCAAAGGTAGGAAATGAATCTGAGAACAAACTGGCAAATTACTGACATGGTTACACACCCTATCAGAATAAACTCTTACAAATGAGTAGGATAGCAATAATTTGATTTGTAATTCTCTTTCCCTAAAACTGCCTCCCAGTATAGAAAATTTAATCTGTGGTGAGAGACTGTGGCATAGAGTTAAGGGATACAGAGTTGATCTACCTTCCAATGACAACTTTGTTATTCATGAGTTCCTGGACTTGTGTAAATGTAATCCCACCTATCAGACAAATTTTGGCTAAAGTCTTATGGTGTGCTGGGGTAAGGGGAGGTAGGTGTTTTAATATTATCTTAAAAATAAAATGCTGAACTAGGTTAAGACTTTACAAAATTAAGCACTCCATTTTATTGTACAAACTATGGACTTAACAGACACACACACACACACGCACACATACACGGAAATTTCCAGAAACAAGAGAACAACAAGAATATATAGGCAGGAGAGGCTTCAAGAGAGAAAGTTATTGAGTGTAGTGTTAAAGTAGTTTGAATTAATACAGGAGGAGGATGAAATGGATTTTTCAGGTAAAAGCAAAAAGACAGTGAAGGCACAAATGAAGTTGGCCTTTTCTTGATTCAGTGAAGTAGTTGTTCAGATTACCAAAGAGGATATGAGTTAGGGACACCGGGAATAAAAGGTAATTGAATATTTGCATGGAATCAGGGGATTAGCAGATAGACTAAAGCATCACGTAGGCCAGCAGCTATTTTCACAGTTTGGCTGCCCCAACCCACAACCATCAGTAACAGTGGCTGTGATTCAGAGGTGAGGAAGCAAAATATGCCCCTTCTATGCCCTTTTCTATGAAAATTTGGGTAGAAAAAAGCACAGGAGGGAAGTATTTAATATCCTTCCTTAGAAGAATACCAGGAAATTTTTCCTCTAATCTACTTCCTAATGCATTTTAAATGTGTTCTTTTCTCCTCTTAACCATTCTTTAGCCCTATGGTGAATTCGTTTATCATTATCAAACATATCTATACTTATTTATGGGTCTCTCTAGCCTCCATAACTAAGTTATCATTTCCTTATATAAGAACAGAGGTAATATCTACTTATATATACCCTGTGAATGGTCAAGACATATCACTATTATTTATTTGGTGTCTTATGGGCCATTTTCAAATTATTCAATCAATTGCTGCAAGAGAAAAGGGTTTTTCCCTTATCATCAGATAGTTACATTTTTAAAATTTTCCTTAGTAATCAACACACCAGATTATAATTAAAATAATGTTTTAGTTCCTGTGGAATGCACTTCTTAGACTATTTTTTATCCATGATATTATTCACTATATGGTAATGTGGTAATGGCAGTCCACTGTGTTTAGATGTTTCTATTAAATATTTCAATTTATCCCATGAACATGAGTTACATTTTTAGAGTAGAAAGTATTCGTTTTACTACAGTAGAAGAATAGGCCCAGTAAGCCTAAAATGAAAATGGCATATTTTATAAATAGGTAATAATATCCAAAGACAGTTTTACTGCCTAGCAACCTCCAGATTTAATGTTATATAGATAAAATATCCATTTTATATCAATGCTGTACCATCTGCAGTCATGTGAACTGAGTTTTGCAACTGACTATCCATGCATTGATTTTAAAACATGGACTGATTATTAAGCAAAATATTAGAAGTCAGTTATTCAGCTGGACAGAAAGGAGAACAAATATTGAGAAGTCTAATCTCACCAAACATCAAACATGAGTATTCATTTTTACCTTTTTTTTAATGGTTTTACTTTTATTTTTATCGAGAAGTAAATATTTCTATTTTTTATTTATTTAAGCTATTCATTCTGGCAATGATTTGGCAACAGTGCAGGTGGTCCTCGAGCTTTATTTTTACTGTCTGGTATTTAAACTGAAACATAACGTTTCTAAGCAATACGAGGCCACCTTCACTAGCAAGCTGGGTGCCAGGCCTAGGCCTCACAGTTCCCCAACCCCAGGAAAGACTGCTGACATTTGCAAAAGCTGCCGAGCTTTCGTTCACTTTTTTTTATTATTATTATACTTTAAGTTTTAGGGTACATGTGCACAATGTGCAGGTTTGTTACATATGTATACATGTGCCATGTTGGTGTGCTGCACCCATTAACTCATCATTTAGCATTAGGTAGATCAGAGTATATTCAGAGTTTTGAAAAAGGTGAGCAGATTAGACACCATTTTGTTCCATTCAACATCTGTAGACCCTTACTGGTGCTGTAAATCAATCAATAAAAGAGACAGAATTATTCATCCACAGAGCCTGTTATATGATAAAATGGACACATTTACACAGTTTACAAAATACTTTTCCTGAACTCTGAGCTTCCAAATATTATCCTCTTTCTTCCAACTCTAGCTAACTCCAGTAGACAGAATAATGACCTCCTAAAATATCTATGTCCTTATCCTCAGAAACTAAATTTATTACCTTATGTGGCAAAAGGGACTTTGTAATGTGATTAAGGAACTTGAAATAGATTATCCTGAATTATCAAGGTGATCCCAATCTATCACAATGTTCCTTGTAAAAAGCAGGAAGATTAGAATCAGAGAAAGAGATATGATGTTGGAAGCAGAAGTCAGAGAGAAAGCCATTGAAGGTGCAAGGCTTCAGGTCTTGAAGATGGAGGAAGGGGCCACTAGCCAAGGAATGCAGGCAGTCTTCAGAACCTGGAAAGGCAAGGAAAGGGACTGACTTCCAGAGCTTCCAGAGGAAAGCAACCCTTTAAACACCTTACTTTTAAGATTTCTGACCTCCCAGAATGCAAGATGATAAATCTGTGTAGTTTTAAAACACTAAGTTTATGATGGTTTATTATAGAGCAATAGAAAACAAATACACCAACAATCTTGAACACTACTGTATCTACCTCACCACTCCTGGTAACTCTCATCCCACCACCATCTGGTTTCTTCACTTATCTCTTTTCTGAACTTGCTACCTTTACTGGCATTCACTGGTCTCCAATAATGCCAGTGTTGCCAAATCCAGTGATTGCTTTTTGGCCTTTTCTTACCTGACTGCTCAGCCTGTAGTGGGAAAGGTCTCCTGTCTGTGTTCTCCATTCATTGGGCTCCTCAGTTTGCAATGAGATTACCTCCCTCAGTTTCCATCTAGTAATGGGTGGTGTGGTAGGCAACTTCTGACCTGGCTCCCAGTGATTTCTCCTCCTTGGATTTGCACCCTTATGTAATGGGCCTTTGAGTGTAAGCTGAACCTAGTGACTTGTTTCTAATGAATAGAATATGTCCAAAGCAATGGTATGTTACTGATGGCAGCAGCAGCCCATCTGGAGCAGCTGCTGCAAGGATTTCAGCCACAGCAGGATAGGCATGACTGGAGCTGTGCATTCTGTGGAGCTGGTGGGGGCCGGGAATAGGTGATCCCAGTGGGAGCCCCATGCCCCACCAAGTTGCCAGGGTGGAAGCCCATGCTGCTGGGTGCAGCTGCAGCCACCCAGCCACAGCTCCAAACCTGAGCATTCCTGCACTCTCAGGGGCCCAGGGAGCCCCCTGGCCCCACAGGCTTGGAAGTGCCTGCTCTCACTCTCTGGCTTCTCCCCACTCCCAGTGCCTGTTCCAGTGTGGAGCAAAGTAATGGCTGAGCCTGGATGCTGTTGCAACCCAGCCAGGTGTGCATGCACTTGGGGCAGCATGAACACATCAGCTCCCTGCTGCCTCAGCCCCCCTCTGGATTTTGGGCACCTACAAGTGCAGGAGAGAGGCTGGCAGTGGTGGCTGAGGACAGGTTGGCACAGGCCTGCAGGTGTCTCTTGGCACAGAAAGCCTAGGTGTTGTGGACAGCATGTTGTTGGCAGTGGGAGGCAGACAGTTTCCTGGGTGGGAGGGGGCAGGTCCCCAGTGAAATTCTACCTTCAAGCCAGAGACAGCCTGAAGCCTGGGGGCCAGGCTGCCAGTTACCAGTGGTGTCTGTGACAGGGAGTGAGAACTTCCTTGATGCCTTTTGGCCAATAAGATAGTGCTTTTTCCAGGACCACCCATGGCCACCCATGGACCAATCAGTATGCATACCCTCCCTTCTGAGCCGATATAAACCCCAGACTCAGACTAGTTGGACAACCTGTCTGCAGATGGGAGCTAGCCACTTTGGGTCTCCTCTCAGCTGAGAGCTGTTCTGTCACTCAATAAAACTCCTCTCTGCCTTGCTCACCTTCCAGTTGTCCATGTAACCTCATTCTTCCTGGACCTGGCAAAAGAATTCGGGACCTGCCAAATGGTGGGAGCGAAAGGAGCTGTAACATGTTCCTGGTCAGTTTGCCAAACTGTGGCCAGTGACATGCTCCTGGACTGCAGGATTGAAGAGTGGCAACTCTTCTGGGGACCCAGGCCTTGGGATTCTCCAAGCCAGAGTTGCTGTAACACTATAGCTCTCCTGCCCTCTGCTGGCACCAGGTGGCTGCCCCATGTGACAGGAAGCAGTGGCAGGGCTGGGCCAGTTCAGGAGCCTCAGGCCAGAGTGGGGTGGTGGAACTGAAAGAGCTGTAACACAAATGGGCTGAAACACGCCCCCTGGAACATGGGCCCCGTCCAACTCACCATGTTGTGGACGACGAGTAGAAAAAAACCTGTGGCCCTTCTGGGAGCCCAGACCTCAGGGTTCCCTGAGCCAGAATGGTGACACACTAAAACACCCTCTTTGGGGCTTTGCAGTTCCCGGTATCTCTGAGCTTTCAGGGGCCATCACATTCCCCTTGTCCAGTTGCTGGTGCCCACAGTGGAAGCCACTTGCAGTGTGTCTGGTCCAACCACAGACTCCCACGGGGCCAGCACCTGTACTGGCACCTGGAGTTGCCTGCCCCGCCACAGCAGCTGGCATGCCTGGCTGTGCACAGTGGCTGGACCCCGTGCTTGCTCATTCACACACCCCTCACCACTCCATGCCTGGCTCACCCTTCGCAGGCATGGGATCTGGGATGGTAACACAAGCCGAATGCAGCCTGCAGGGCTGAGTGGGTGGAACAAGCCCAGCGAGCATGAACAAAACTCAATCAGTGGCACCACCAGCCACAGAGATTTCTGGCTAACAAAGCAACACCTGAAGGATCCTGTGACATTACTGCTGAAATTAAGTTACAAAAGGACAGTCACTCCCATCTGCCATACCATTTTACCCTCTTGCTTGCTTGCTCTGATGAAGCCAGCTGTCATATGAACAGCTCTATGGAAAAGTCCATTTGGCAAAGAACTGATGGAGCCCTCTGGCCAACAGCTGTAGAAAACCTGGGGTCTCAGTGCAACAGCCATGAAAGAAGTGAATCCTGCCAACAACAACATAAGTTACTCTTGGATTTTAGTCTTTCCCCAGTTGAGCCTTGAGATGAGATTGCAGCCTGACCAATATCTGGGTTGTAGCCTTGTGAGAATTTGAGGCAGATGCACCCACCTAAACTGCACTGCTTCCTAACCCACAGAAACTATGAGACAATAAATGTTGGCTGTTTTACGCCATTAAGTTTTAAGGTAATATGTTACGCAGCAATAGATAAATAATACAGGTGGTCATAAAGAGGATATACCTAGACATGAGGAAGATAGGACTCTTGATTGTGTAACCAGACCTCACAGTTAAAAAGTAAATTAAAAAGTAAACCATGAGGTCTCTTAACAAGAACAGAAAAAGCAATGTATTGTTGTCTCAAAGATTGAAACACAGTTTAGGGATCATAATGTAGTCCAGGATTTAACTCATCCCCAATTTACCAGGTTGTCTCATTCTCCCTCCAGCAGCTAAAGTCTGTTGACTCCCACCTTCATGCTCCACAATGGTAGAAACTCAGTTCTGTTTTTACAGCTTGGCTTCTTTTTTTGCCAAACAGCCACCTCACCCCCTCTTCTTTCTCATGGCTTCTACTTGCATGTGCTTTGGTCACCTCATGAACCCTGCTGCTTACTTTCTCTGCATGTGTTTCTCAACACATGTATTTCATTTGCTAGGGCTGCCATGAGAAAGTGCCACAAACTGGTTAAAGAACTGGTTGTCTCACAGTTCTGGAGGCTAGAAGGCTAAGATCAAAGTGTGGGCAGGATTGCTTCCTCCTGACAGCTGTGATCCTCCTGACAGCTGTGAAGAAAAATCTGTTCCATGTCTTTCTCATAGTGTCTGCTTTGTTGTTGTTGTTGTTGTTGTTGATTTGTTGTCATTCCTTGGCTTGTAGAAGCATTACCCCCACTGTCTGCCTTCATCTTTTTTTTTTTTTTTTTTTTTTTTTTTTTTTTTTGTGAGATGGAGTCTAGCTCTGTTACCCAGGTAGGAGTGCAGTGGCGCGATCTCAGCTCACTGCAACCTCTGCCTCCCAGGTTCAAGTGATTCTCCTGCCTCAGCCTCCCGAGTAGCTGGGACTACAGGCGCGTGCCATCACACCTGGCTAATTTTTGTATTTTTAGTAGAGTCAGGGTTTCACCATGTTAGCAGGCTGGTCTCGAACTCCTGACCTCATGATCTGCCTGCCTTGGCCTCCCAAAGTGCTGGGATTACAGGTGTGAGCTACTGCACCCGGCCATGTCTGCCTTCACCTTAACATGATGTTCCTCTGTGCATGCGTTGGTGTTCAAAATCCCCCTTCTTATAAGGCCACAAGTCACACTGGATTAGGGGCCTTACTTCAGTATGACTTCTTTCTAACTTAACTAATTGCATTAGCAACAATCCTATTTTCAAATAAGAGCATATTCTGAGATATGGTGAGTTAGCATTTCAACATATGAATTTTGGGGGGACGTAATTTAAACCATAACAACACCTGCTGCCACCTCTGTCTGTATAACCCCAGATTCCTGATAAAAAGAGCCCTATCGATCCACTTGGTCATTGCTGATTTATTTGATCAAGGTTCTCACACCAGGACTTCCTTACAGAACTATAAATTCGTTGAATTTTGATGAAAGACCATGTGGCCCAGATCATAGTCATCTGTGTATCTGGATAATTAATGACATAGGGCTGATTCCCTCCACAGTGATCTGTGAAAGATAATCACTTTGAAAGGAGTTATGGGGAAAACAGGCACAAATTCCCAAGCTTGCCCTCCCCATTAAAACTTAGATGACATTCCTGCACCCCCTCCCCTCAATTTTACACCCTCTTCTTTGGTGCTCAGCATTAAGCCATTCTTTCTCCGCTTCTGTTTAAGTCTTAGTTCTTCAGGCCCTTGTTCTCAGCCCTATACTCTTTTTTTTTTAAACAATTTGCTCTTGGCAACTTCATCAAAATCTGTAGCTTCACCTGCCACTTTGGACTTCTAAGTGTATTCCCACAGCCTAAGCCACTCTATTATGCATATTTATTCAACTACTTGCTTAGCCTCTCTACCTAGGTGTCACATAAGTTACCTTAGACTCAACAGGTCCAAACCTGAACTCACCACTTCACCTCCCACAAACATGCCTCTCCCCAAATTCACCCCATCTTAGGATCCTCCCAGCCCCTCCAGTGGAAACACTGGCAGTGCCTCCCTCTCACCTGTTACCCAGACACATTCACTCAGTTACCAAGGCCTATGGCTTCCTCCTACATATTTCTCAAATTTTTCCCCTTGTAGCTATTCCCACCATTGCACCTTAATTCAGGGCCTCTTCACTTCTTTCCTGGATTATACGAATTCTCAATTCAGCTTTCAGAATATTATTTTTCAAAGCATAAAAGTTATTTCATTATTTCCTTCAAAAAATCACTTCATAATATCTGATGTATTAGGGATAAATTTGAAGCACATTAAATATTTAATGTCTAGGACTCTGCCTATTTTTCCAGCCCTTCATCTCCTGCTGTATATTAAGGGATACCTACTGTAAGATATTAATAAACCATATTAAAAGGATTCTGATCAACTGCAATCTAGTCTTGTTCATCTTCACAAAAATACTCACCGGAATTTGATTTATATATACTTTATGTTAGCATTTATCAAAATTCCCACTGAATCTTGTATGTTACATTATCATAGTCTTTACCACATTGTGCTATAATAAACAATTTACTTGGTTATTTTCCCTATTAGAAAATAAATTCCCTGTAGACATTATCTATTTTGCTGTATGCTCCCAGAGCCTAGTGGTGTGCTCAATAATTTGTTGTTAAATAAATGTATAAATATATTAAATGCTGTAGTGAACAAACTGCAGTTATTGCCTTTAAGGAATCATATTGGAGGAAACACAGGTTTAATAATTAATTATAATACCAACTTAGATATCTGCTACTAAACTGGTACTAACAAAGTGCAACAGGCTAAAATGAGAAGAGATATGCCTTGAGGGAGCCTGAAGAGTTGAAGAGGATGGAGTCTGATATTCTTGTTAAGGAGACTGGGACAAGATGAATTCAAAGACACCATTCAACATCCTAATCCTGGAAATAATGATGGCTCACAAGTCCATCCCTTTGGAAGAATCATTCCTTCATATGGATAATCACATCAGCCTTTGCTTTCAATCTAAGAAAGAAGCTTTTACAAGTTCACATAATAATCTTCCCAAGTCTAGTAATCTGATGAGAAAGCTTTGTCGTCTAAGGAAAAGATTTTGTGGCAGAGCCTATTAACAATGTGAAGGGCTGCTTTATAAGATAGCAAATTCCCTATCACTGGAGATGTCCAACCAAAAACTGAATAACTTACTTTTAGGGAATTTTTTAAAAGGTGCCCCCATACTGGGTGGAAAGATAACTCATTTTATATAAGGTCAATTCCCAGCATGAAATTGACTATTCTTTGTTTCTAATAGTTACCAATAAAACGCACCTTCTCAGATCCTAATGATAGAAAAGAGATTTGATAGAACTATTGTATTTTTTAAAGTCTGTATCTTCCAGGCTTCATATCAGACAGTATATAAAAGACATGTTTCTTCTATCTGTTCATTAAATTTCTCAAATTTTATTGACTTTTTCTTCCACTTTTAACACTATTTATTAAAATTCATTTTAATTCTTTTTACAGTTTGTATACGTATGTGCATGAGTGTGTATGCATGTGTACACACGAGGGACAGAGAGACAGAAAGTATGCTCTGTGGAGTTGAATGTCAAGAGGGATTTATTTTTGTTCTTTCCAAATACTTGGACAAAAGAGTTACACCTGCAGCACATTACAAGGTTAACAAGGGATTTGAATCTTGAAATGCCATTCATCTTGAAGGAGCAAGTGCCCAGTTTTCTATAAATGAAATGCCATGTTATTTTTAGATAAGCCTTTTTTTTTTTTTTTTTTTTTGCCAAGAGGATCCAGGACGTGGTGAACAATGTACAGTCTGATTAGCATACCTATTTAAACATGTGAATGTCTGCGGTTCCTTAATGTTACTTGCAATAAGTCTGTGGCAAGCCTATTCCCTTAGCGAGGGTGCATTATTTAGTTCATAAATTTAAAAGAGAAAAAAAAGCCTTTCAAAGAATTCAGGCTTGTTTACTAATAACAGCACATGGAAGTTTGAAGTGAGAGTTCTATTAGAGTATAGTTCTTGTTAAGTAGGGCACCGAAGTATATTTCCAACCCAAGGTCTCTTAAAGAGTTTTCACTGACATCTATTTTGCTAGATCTAGATATGCTCACCCAGAAGGCAGAGTCCAAAGACCAATCATTTTAACAGTTTACCCCCAACACACCCAAGAGAAAAGCAGACTCAGAACATTAAGCAGAAACAAAACAGGTAGGTGATTGCTACTTTATTAGACCGTTGCAGTTGAGAAAATCTGTCATGAAAAACAACCCCCTAGATAGGTTGTGGGGATACTTATGAGTATGTATGAAGAGCAGTCTATAAGCAGGGGGTTTTGTGTGGCTATAATTCTCTGTCACTACGGAGGAAGGTTCTGGAAGGCTCATCTGCTGCACTGTAAAGCATGTTTCATTGGATTTTCATATCTGACTCTCCCTTTCTTTACAGCTTCTTGCTGAGGGATCATACAATAAAAAACCTATCATTTTAGCAAATGTACGCTTTTAAAAGTAGGCACATTTTCAAGTCATATTCCATTGCTTCCCTGGTCTTTCAGCCACCTCACTTTCATACTTAAATTACCAAACTCTTTAGTGGTGGGGGCTTCAATACAGCTTCTAAATTTACAGAGAGGACTAGTTCATACAAATCACTGCCCCAGGGCATGTATGGAGGGTTTGTATTTGAATGGTCAGTGCCCTTCCCAAGATGAAAGTTCATAATAACCTTCAGAAAAGGCAACAAGAACCTGTTATTTAGCAGATGAGGACTTTATGGTAAGCTGAGGCTTTTTAAATTCAAATGGCAAGCAAGCTGACCCCAGGGAAGACTGCCATGTATCCATATCTACCAGTTCTATCAGAGGAAACAAAAGGAGTTAGAACACAAACTCTTCAAATACCTGCCTAGTTAACAATCTCCTTGAATAGTCCTTACATTACCAAAATGTGGAAAACTTCACCATAGCTTTGCTAATGGCTTTGTCGTCAATCTTCAGCTGAACTCCTCTTTCCAAATAGGGACTGGAACACAAATGAATGAGTAGTTGAGTAGAAAATTAAGTTTCTTAAAACTTAAATAGATTCAGTCTCTGATGGACTATTCTAACAAGACTCTGCACAGGTAATATCCTGGTCTTAGGTGTCTGCCATCTTCTCATGTAGAAAATCTTGGACTGCCTTTGACAGTTGTAATTACAAATGACTATTGTTTACTAATTCATCTAGCTACTTAGAAGCCACAAACTTTCATTTGTGGCTATTTCATGTTCTACATAGCAGTGGATCTTGCATGTTTTGTGAACATGGCACGTAGTCACTTGTTCAATGAATGCGTGATCTGCAATTGAGGAGACAAGCTCTTCTAGAATCAGAAAACAGCAATTCCTTGCAAGACAAATTATTCCTAAGAGGAATTTTCATGTCACTTTTCACATATAGACATTAAAATAAGCTTCTTCCCTTGGGAATCATTTAAAAGAGAAAGCAAATTTGAAATATTCTGAGGTTTTCTTATAGCTAATCAACACATCATAGGAAAACAAATAGTGCTTCCTAGACTAGCATCACACAAAAAGTAGTTAGAACTTATGTAATGAACTCATTATACATCTGTTTTTAAAAGGATGAAACCAGTTCCCTATCACAGAAATCTCAGAAATAATGAGTAGATTTCAAAATATTTCCCATACTGTCTTGCTTTGGGATTTTAGCACACTCTCCTGCCTTCATTCAAGTTATCCAAACACAAAGAAATGAGATTGCCGCCCATTAACCCCAGGAGGACACTGGACTGGAATGAGATGCTACCTTTACCATCAAAACCTTTGATTAAGAAAAGTAACTGAACAGGGCAGTATGACACAATGTGTAAGCCATTGGTGTCACTGGCTTTGCCAGTGCTCCTTCTCTGGGTCATGTTGGAGGCCTTTGTGACACGAGCAGCAATTGCTGTGGGATAATTATATGTAGTTATATAAAATGGACGAATGCCAGCCAAGCAAATTGTGCAAAAGGACTGGTTGTGTTCCTTGTTAAATGTTTTGTCAAGCTGACCATGCCCTTTATTTATCTCTAACACAACATGCTTATTCTGCCCCATCTACTGTATTCACCCTGCAAATTTATGAGGCTCTATTAATCTTCTGCCCTGCTGACTATCTCTGTTGCAAAGTGTCAGCAGACTTTTGTACCTTGCTAATGTACAAAGGGCTTCCTATGAGTAATATCAGCATTTTGCCTTTTAATTGCACATATAATTTTTAGGTCTTACAGCTAATAAGGGAATTGAGACCACAGTTCATCACTGTCTCAAATGGTACTCCAGGGGTGTGGGGACTGTGGAAGCTGAGAGAAGAATATAGCTGTTCTTGTTCCAAGCAATAGTTTCTCTCATTATAATAGTACCATCTCTACTATAGTGTTAGGGATCTGTCACTTTTCCCATTATACACCCCACTTTTCTGGGGCTTTACAACTCCGTAGTAAAAATGTACTTTTTTTTTCTAGAAAACTTTTCATGCTGGATCTTAGCTCATGCGTATTTTTATAATCTTTCATATAAATTGCAAAAGAAATTAACAACTGCGTGATTTGTACAATCCAAGAAACCAATATTATCTATTGGACAAACTCCTGAACATCTAAAGATTTCAAATGGGTGCACTTTTGCTAGTCCTTCCACTGAACTTTTTCTACTGGATATATATATTTTTTGATGCAGACTTAGTTTTAAGTATTTTTAAAGAAAATAATGTTTAAAAAACTGGGGATTCATGTTTTCAATGTGGGCATTTTGCTTTTGCATTAATAGCCTTTCACAAACATTTTTACTGTGCCTGAAAAATGTACATTATTGATGAGTGTACTTCTTACTGTGCAAAAGCCATTAGGAAAGAAATGAAAGATCTGTGGCAAGAATTTGATGCACAGAGAAGGCTTTGGTGGATAGTGTTTTCAGTTAGCAGTTAGGGAGTACCCATAATCATCCTGCCCACCTAGGACTATCTCATTTGCATTTTTTATATATATCACTGTGAATTACAGCACACCTCTCTTGGCATCTGGCAAACAGATACTTGTGAAATGTGATCGCATTAAAATATTGACAATGACATAGCTCTGTAAACTGTTTATCAACAATGGAAATAAGATTATGCATTTTCAGACACATTCACTTCAGTGTCACATTAGATTGGTGCAAAAATAATTGTGGCTTTTGCCGTTACTTTTGCACCAAACTAATATAACACCGAAGGCAAATTCCTGAGTTTATCATACAATTAATTTCATTAGAACAGAAGATCAGACATTCAGATTTGAAAAGAGGCAATTTAGGGGAGATGGGAAGCCTGCGTTTTTATCTTGACTGTTTATGATTCTGAGCATTTTCCTGATCTCAACTGCTTTAGCTGTGATTCACGGAGCTGGAGTGCAGGTTAATGTCTGACTTTCTGTGGCTTTGATTCTGGGTAGAAAGGAAAAAATGACAGAATTGGGCTGGCTGAACTTCAACCTGATCCCATCAGGCAGGGAAGCTTCCAGTCAAGCTGAATGCTGTGTGTGGCAATTTGAACTTTGTTTCCTTTCCCCCCGTGTGGAATCTATATTTCCTCCACATGTGAATATTAACCCATGGGGTTAACCCACCTCATTGCTGGGTGGAGGCCTCTTCTCTTCAATGATGTGACTCTTGAGGTCTTCAGTGTCTTATTTTACTTATTTCTGGGAGTTCAGAAATTTTAGGCCATTTTTGGCTAAACTCCTAGGCAATATGTCAAAGCAGAAGAAAGTCCCATAGTAATCCTAGGTGTACCATGAAAGGCACTAAGCTAAGAGGAGATAACAGAGGCTCCCCATGGTTGATAGAGAAAAGTCTAAAGCTCTTAAGATTGCTAAAATAAAATTCAGAGAAAGAGACTAACTTAATCGAGTGATTATTGTGTGACATACACCCTCTCCTTTCATTCTCCTGTTAACTTGCGTTAATAGATATTATCTTCAGGTTACAAATGATAAAGTTAAGATTGAAATAAACAAATTTTCCTAGGTACACGGATCAGATCCAGGCCTCCTGAATCCTGAATCATCTTGTGTCATGAGTCAAAAAAAAAAAAAAAAAAAAAAAAGCCCAATAAAAGAGATTGGGCATGCATCACATAGTTCTCGTGCCATGGTTTTCAGCTCCATCAGGTCATTTAAGGTCTTCTCTATGCTATGTATTCTGGTTAGCCATTCATCTAATCTTTTTTCAAGGTTTTTAGCTTCTTTGCGATGGATTCGAACGTCCTCCTTTAGCTCGGAGAAGCTTGTTATTACCTATCATCTGAAGCCTACTTCCATCACCATCAACTCATCAAAGTCATTCTCCATCCAGCTTTGTTCCATTGCTGGCAAGGAGCTGTGTTCCTTTGGAGAAGAGGTGCTCTGATTTTTAGAATTTTCAGCTTTTCTGCTCTGGTTTCTCATCTTTGTGGTTTTATCTATTTTGGTCTTTGATGATGGTGACGTACAGATGGGGTTTTGGTGTGGATGTCCTTTCTGTTTGTTAGTTTTCCTTCTAACAGTCAGGACCCTCAGCTGCAGGTCTGTTGGAGTTTGCTGGAGGTCCACTCCAGACCCTGTTTGCCTAGGTATCACCAGTGGAGGCTGCAGAACAGCAAATATTGCAGAACGGCAAATGTTGCTGTCTGATCCTTCCTCTTGGAGCTTCATTTCAGAGGGGCATCTGGCTGT